>NC_000001.11:211669435-211820950 GCF_000001405.40 Homo sapiens | reverse complement strand
GTCTGCCCAAAGGGATTCTCCCTTTATCTCTCATATCTAGTAACTTTATTAGGATATAGTGGTATTGACTGTGTAGCTCAATTTTTCCTGGTACATGTGTGCCTTTTTAATATTTAGATTCAAACGTATTTTCATTTCAGGAAAGTTTTCTTTAATCATATCTTTAAATATTTACTTTGTCTCATTGTTTTGGTTTTCCTTTTTGGAGACCTTAGTTATATGTATGTTGAATCTCCTTTTGTATGTCTTTTATATCTGTTATTTTTCCTTTAATCCTTTTAAACCGTTTTTCATTTGTTTGTTTCTTTCATGTCTTTTACTGTGTTTTCTGCAACGTCTCTTCTTTGTTCTCCTATCAGTTTCTTCTTCATTTCTGTGATGGCTTTGTTTATTCTTCTATTTTTTTTTTTTGTTTAGTTCTACCAATTCATGCTTCCCTATTCCTGTTATCTAGACATTTCTCCCTTGAGTTCTTGTATTTCTTGTTTGTGGTCTTGTTCTTAGTGATGATGGCTTCACTGATTTTCTTAAAATCAAGCAAAATTATTCAGTTATAATTTTTGTCTTCTCCATTGTAATTTTTTTTTAGTGTACTCTGACAGTTGGTACATTATCTATCATTTTTCTTAAAGTATCTCTCAGTCAGTACCATGCCAGTTACCTTTTTTTCCTTGTGACTTAATGAATTGGATTTTCCTCAATCTGTTATTTGTAGGAGGTTTGTATGGGGCCAGGGTAGATTTCCAGATTTCTGCCTCAGAGGTAGTCTTTTTCACATATGACACCTGGGTGTGTTTCTCTGTGTGGCCACAAGTCTTCTGCCTCTCTAAAAAAATGTCTAGACCTTCTAGAAGGTCTTTTGCCGCTAATTCTGAACTTTCCACTCCTTCCTTTGCAGCTGTGATTGGAGGGACATGGCTCCAGCATGCCAATGTAAACCACCCCCCTGCCTGCCTTTTTTTTTTTGAGACGGAGTCTCACTCTGTTGCTCAGGCTGGAGTGTAGTGGTGCAGTCTTGGCTCACTGCAACCTCTTGCCTCCTGGGTTCAAGCGATTCTCTGCCTCAGCCTCCCGAGTAGCTGGCAGTACAGGCGTCTGCCACCATGCTTGGCTAATTTTTGTATTTTTAGTAGAGTCGGGGTTTCACCATGTTGGCCAGGCTGATCTCAAACTTCTGACCCCAGGTGATCCATCCGCCTCGGCCTCCAAAAGTGCTGGGATTACAGGCGTGAGCCACCGTGCGCGGCAACTCTTTTCTTAAGGAAAGGTATTGTTCTGTTGCTTTCTGAGATCTGCCACTGTCAGGCCCTCTTCATCACATGCCACACTGTCTTGCCCTATAAGCTGCTCTCCACCCCAGCATAGATTGTATGCCTTGTTTGATCTCAGCCTTGTTCTCAGGTACTTTGGTGGTTTTATTTTTTAGATTTAAATTTTTTGGTTTTTTTTGTTGTTGTTGGAGACAGGGTCTTGTTCTGTCACCCAGGCTGTAATACCATGGTGCATTCCAACTCACTACAGCCTGAAACTTCTGGCCTCAAGTGATCGTTCCCATCTCAGCCCAAGTAGCTAAGACGACAGGCATGTACCACCATGCCTAGGTAATTATTTTAATTTTCTTGTAGAGATGGGGCCTTGCCAAGTTGCCCAGACTGGTCTCAAACTCCTGGCCTCAGGCAGTCCTTTCACCTGGCCTGCCAAAGTGCTGTGATTATAAGCATGAGCCACCGCACCCGGCCTGGGATTTTTATATTTTTGTTTTTCTCCTAGGTTTTCTGAAAAAGCAGTTTTGCGCAGTTTTTTCTCCTTGTTGCTATCTGTATTTTCCCAGAAGATTCATGCCTATAATGCTGCTATGTCCATACCAAAAAGTACAACACAAGATTTTTGTTTAACTATGTAATTATAATTAAAATAGCACTGCCACCATCCTATTGTACACTGGTTGATTATTATAGAATGGAGAGCAATTTTACCATCTAATTAATTTTCTTTGAGGTCTGTTGAAAAGCATAAAGTAGGCTCCAAAGTGTGTTTCTTTTGTCTCCCAGTGGTTTCCAACGTGTTTTGATTCTTAGACTGCTTACCAGTAGCATATGTTTAAGACATCCACTCTATTTCCATTTGGCTGCAGTAAGAAAATGTCATCAAAACGAATGGAAGGAGTGAGTTACCTTTGGTACTTTAGTAAGGAATATGAAATAAATGTGACATTAATACAGTAAAGCTCTAGGGTCTGGTCTGCCTTGAGAACTTTAAAGATCACTAGTGCACTCCAAAGTTTGACAAATATTGTTACATAAGAGTTTACCATTCCTAATCTAAAATTAGGGTTTGCTGAGTATTTAGGCTTTGTTTTAGGAGTTTCTTTTCAGAGTTTGCAAATTAGTGGCCATATTCAGAAGCTGATCTGTTTTATTTTGTCTTAGCACTATTTAAACTTAAATTAGTTGTCAACATTTCAAATTAGGGAGATTTCACAAAACATGAAAACAAATTCCACATTTCCAGCTATTCTTGAGAAATTAGAGATCTGGCCATGCTGAGCCCTTGTTCCTGCATAGTAACGATTTGCTGGAGCTGCATGATGACCACCCCCTTTACTGTCCAGTTTATCCAAGATCCTGCTTCTTGTCTTATTTTGGGCCTACTTTACTTATTAAGGATACTTGCTTGGATCCCAGAGACTTGGGTGATGTTCATTTTAAAATATTTAAATTATAATTACTAGTCTATTTCTGTTAAGCATGGTTTTGCATTTATATGCCCTAGTAGTGCCTAAGACTAATGAACCCTGCCATTAAAAACTGAAAGTTGGCTGGGTACGGTGGTTCACGCGTGTAATCCTAGCACTTCGGAAGGCCAAGGCGGGTGGATCACTTGAGGTCAGGAGTTTGAGACCAGCCTGGCCAACATGGTGAAAACCCGTCTCTGCTAAAAATACAAAAATTGGACTGGTGTGGTGGTGCATACCTGTAGTCCTAGCTACTCGGGAGGCTGAGGCAGGAGAATTGCTTGAACCCAGGAGGCAGAAGTTGCAGTGAGCTGAGATCGCACCACTGCACTCCAGCCTGTCTCTGGACAGAGTGAGACTCTGTCTCAAAACAAAAACAAAAACAAAAAACCTGAAAGTTTGTTAGTAATCTCAACTGCTGATTTTATGAAGCAGAGGCATTTAATAGGAACGAAAAAATGAAGCACCATTACCAAAAGCTGTGGTCACAAGGTTTTTCAAGTTTCATGTATCCTATTACTGACATGGTAAAATGTTGCCAGTTGTTTATACACTCATTAGTTAGTAGAATGTCTCATTTCTTCTTAAGAATATAATTATCTAAAATCTAGATTATTAAAAATTCTTTCTTTCTTTTTTTTTTTTTGAGATGGAGCCTCACTCTGTCCCCTAGGCTGGAGTGCAGTGGTGCGATCTCGGCTCACTGCAACCTCCACCTCCTGGGTTCAAGTGATTCTCCTGCCTCAGCCTCCTGAGTAGCTGGGACTACAGGCGCCGGCCACATGCCCGGCTAATTTTTGTATTTTCAGTAGAGACGAGGTTTTGCCATGTTGGCCAGGCTGGTCTCGAACTCCGGACCTTAGGTGATCCACCTGCCTCTGCCTCCCAAAGTGCTGGGATTACAGGTGTGAGCCACCATGCCCAGCGACGGATGGTTTTATGAATAGTTGAGTTCGTTATGAACTGCATGTTCAAAATGCATTTGTGACAAGTTTTTTGAAAAACAGAGATCAATATATACGTTTCCCCCTAATATGATGGTTCCATTTATTAAAGTTAATTGAGGTCCTTGAAGGGAAGAAAATTAACTGGGGGCTAAATTTATAAGTATAGGTTACATGGATAAGGAACTAGGATGTCATTTGGAATAATTGTTGCAGGCTGTTTTATACGGTTGGGATAGAATTTGTTTTTGTATATGAGACTCTGAATTGAGCAGCCATTATAAAGTGTAAATAATCATTCTAAGCTGTGTTAAGCCTCAGATATTTGTATACAGATGTATTTTCAACAAATAATAGATATTGCAAAATAAGTATATTAGAGATAGCATGATGTGTTGGGGAAAAAACATTGATTTTTGAGCTAGTATGAGGTTGGATCCTGTTTCTCCCACTTGCTAGTTTTATCTTTGAGCTAGTTGCTTAATTTCTCTGAGCTTCAGTTTCATCATCTGTAAAAATGGAGGTTATGAAACTTGAATGTAAAGTGAAGCCTGGTGTTTGGCACTCTATAAATGATAATTTCATTATTATTAGAATGATCATTATTATATTAATGTCTAGGAAAATAATTATGTTAGCCTTTTGGGAAAAGGCATGTGTAAATGAATAAAAGCTAACTTATGAGGTAGTCTTAGAAATATATCTGAGGCTATTCAGGCCTAGCTAGTAGTGTAGCTCAATCGAGTTCTTGCTTTAATCAATCAATAAAAATAATTTAGGCCGTAGTCTGAATAAAATATTAACTAATTAGATTTTATGTTTGTAAATTTTGCAGTGCTTCAAAGCAATTTATTAATTCAGTCACCTATTCTAATGCAAAAATTTGAGTGCCTTCTCTGTGTCAGATATTGTGCTGGTGGCTGGGAGTACAGTGGCAAACAAAACAACATAGTTGCTGTTCTTAAGAAGTTTACATGTTAGTGTGGGAGAGAGACAACAGGAGTCACATCATAACCACGGAATCACATGTGAAAAGGGCTATGAGAGGATGAGACAGAGGACTTGAGCTTGAGACTAGTGGTGCCAGGGAGGGATGCCCTTGAGAAAGGAACACTGAAATTGAGACCTGAGGAATCAGTAGGAGTTGGCCAGGTGAAGCTAGGAGGAGGGACAGCATGCACAAAGGCAGAAAAGCCAGGCGCAGTGGCTCACGCCTGTAATCCCAGCACTTTGGGAGGCCGAGTCGGGTGGATCACAATGTCAAGAGATTGCGACTATCCTGGCTAACACGGTGAAACCCCGTCTCTACTAAAAAAAATACAAAAAATTAGCCGGGCGTGGTGGCGGGCGCCTGTAGTCCCAGCTACTCAGGAGGCTGAGGCAGGAGAATGGCGTGAACATGGGAGGCGGAACTTGCAGTGAGCCGAGATTGTGCCACTGCACTCCAGCCTGGGTGACAGAGCAAGACTCAGTCTCAAAAAAAAAAAAAAAAAAAAAAAGAAAAGCATTTGTCATGTTTGAGGAACAAAGGGAAGGCCAGTGGCTGCAGCAGGGAGGGAGTGAGGGGGAGAGGAGTTTAGTGGTTGAGGGAAGCTGGTGAGGCCAAATCCTTTAAAGCTTTGTAGTGCATATTAAGGATTTTGAAATTTATCTTGAGGAAACCATCGAAGAGTTTTAAGTAAGGGAATGATGAAATCAGATTCCCATTTGTAATTCTACTCTGCAGCTTTGTAGAAATGGACTCAAGAGAAGCCAGTGTGTGTGGCCAGGAGACCGTGTGGAAGATTCTCACCTTATCAGGTGAGGGTGATGGTTGGTCTAGTGATGATGGCAGTGGAGATGGAAAGTGAACTGATTGGAGAGTTTTATAGGAGGGAAAATTGTCAGGACTTGCTGAGAGATTAGACATGGAGGATGAGGTAGAGAGAGAGGTGACAGGGATGCCCCTGAGGTTTCTGGTGTGAGCTGCTGGGTAGATGGGGAAGTTTAGAGAGGAGGTAACTGAGAGGAAAGATTTTAAAAATTTAAAAATTTAGCATAGGGTAGATGAAAAACATCCAAGTGGAGCTGTGAAATTGACATGGATGTGCAGTCTGGAACTTGTAAGGGAAACTTGAGCTAGAAAGAGAAATCGGCAAATTATCCATGGTGTTTAAAGCTGCTATCACCTAGGGATATCTCAGTACGAAGTGACGAGAGGCCCAGGATTAACTTGTGAGGGAATGCCACCATTTGGAGGTTAAGAGAGGAAGATGGGAAGAGAAGAAGTGGAAGGAATGCCAGCCTTAAGAGTGTGGGGTCACAGAAGTCCACAGTGTTTCAATGCAGGGACCCGCTGAATGCAGCTGAGCATTTATTTACATTTTCCAAGATGAGAGCTGACATATCTTTTATTGTATTTAGCAAGAGCAGCTTTGTTGAGGTGGTAGAAGTGTAACTAGATTGGAGTGGGTCGAAGATGAATGATGAATGGGAGAGGACAAAATGGAAACAAGAATGTATGATTTTCCAGAAGTTTGGCTGTGAAGGAGTAGAGGGTGATACTGGAGGGAGTGATATAGGGTCAAGGGAAGACTTTTTACATTTTTTATTTTTTAAGGTGGAAAAGTCTAGATCCTGACCCACTTAGGGTTGTACCTGATGAAACCGGGATCATTTACTTACACAGCTAGTGTATTAGGAAACTGTTCTTGGTGAGGATTGAATGAAAGAATGCATATCAGCACTCCATACATGGAAAGCACTTAAATGTTGGCTCTGTTGGCAGAATCAGGCTGAGTGGTCCAGAGCCCCCATGGATCTGGTCCTGTTCCAAGCTCTTTAGTAAGGCTGCTCTCCTGCAACCCCTCCTCATTTTCTCAGTTTCATTCTTCCTCTCCCCAAAATCTGTTCTTTGTTTCTTTGAAAATTTCTACCTGCCTGTCTAACCTTGTGACACCCTTCCACACTGCTCCAGTTTCCACTCTTTGCCTCCCTCTGAACCTCTTTGGCATCAACTCTGTAGTTGTGGTTCCTAACTATTGGGCTGAGATTTCCTCCAGTGCTTCAGAGTTATCTCAGGGGGTCAGGAATCCATACGCATATTAAGTACCATCTGTGGATGAATAAATAATGTGTCTTGTAAATATGTGCTAATGTTTTTCAAATATATGTGGCTGCTGTTTTGATTAATAAGAAATCCTTTAAAAGCTTTTAAATTTTGTTGTTACTTTTATTATGGATATTTTCACTCAATTCTAAAAGAACTGATATGTTAAGGCTGGACACATTTTTTGACCTTAAAAAAGAATGTTCATACTTGACAAGGTTAGGAATCATTGCTCTACAACATTCAGATTTCTCCTTCATGTTCTTGACTATTACCTTTTCTTTTCCTGTCTCTTTAACAGACTTGTAAATTGCTTAAGGGCAGGGGTTGTGGTTCTTTCTTCTTTCATGTACCTTACTGCAGAGGTTGGCAAGCTACAGCCCTTGGGCCAAATCCAGCTCACTGCCTGTTTCATAACTCCCCTCCAGCTAAGAAGCTTGTACAGATGAACATTTGCAATCAACCTGATGCTAAGAGAACACTAACTTTGAACTCCAGTTAAGCAAAATGTTCTCTCCTGAGAAATAATTCCATTCTTGTCATTAGTAGACCTGCATTATATAAATTGTATTCAATTATTATTAATTTTTTATTTTGAATTTTGTCAATAAAATTTTCGTAGAAATTTGTTAGAAAACAAATTTGTTACATAAGTACCGACATAATACCCTCATTTGCCTCTTGGCCTGCATATTTGAAAATTTTGCTCTCTGATCCTTTATAGAAAAAGTTTGAGGACCCCTGCTTCGTAGTCATAATTTCTAACCTTGTCTAAACATCTGAATTATTTGAGGAGCTTTAAGTAAGAAAACATACGTATTTATAAGCATAAATATATATATTCCTGTACCCTGGAGATTCTGTATCAGTACATCGGGGTGGAGCCTGGGAACTTATATTTTTAACAAATTATTGAATTGTTTGGGAATCACTTCCTTTTAATGCATTCGTAGAGTTGAACCCCAAGAGATAATGAAATGAATATTGAGTTATATTCATAGATAAATTCTTACTTCAGCATTTAGTAGCTATGAGACCTTATCCAAATAACTACTTGTTTTGCTCGTTTAAAAATTTTTTAATTCTTTTATTTATAGACAGTTTTGCTTACTTTCTGCAGTGGTAGTTCTTTTACCTTTGGAGGTTTATTAGAACCTCTTTCAGAATCTGATGAAAGTAAATAGCCCCTCCCTCTAGAAGGGTGCACCTGTGTTAGTTTCCTGTGACTACCAAAACAAATTACTACAGAAGTGCTTAAAGAAACATAAACTTATTCTCTCACTGTTCTAGAGGCCCGACATTCAAATCAAGGTGTCAGCAGGGCCAAGATCCCTCCAGAGGTTCTGGGGGAGATCCCTCACCTCTTCCAACATCTGGGCTGCATTCCTGGGCTTGTGGCTGCATCACTCAGCCTCGGCCTCCAGGGTCACATTACTGCCCTTTCTTCTCTGTGTATCTCTGTTACACAAGGACTCGAGTCGTTGGATTTAAGGTTCATCTGGATAATCCAGGATAAGCACTTCCTCTCAATATTCTTAACTTAATCACATTTTTTATCATATAAAGTAACATTCACAGGTTCCAGGGATTTGACATGGATATCTTTGGGGTTGTGGAGGGGTGCATTTTTCAGCTTTCCATAGAACCTTTGCACATGGTCACAATTTTACAGTTTCAAGGAGTCACAACTCTGAAGTCCATTAATGGATCCTATGGACTCTAGGTTTGGGCTCCTTGCTCAGTGAGAACCTTATACCTATAGTGTGTTCTAGTTAATCTCTTTATTCTTTCCTGTCTCTGTGTCATATGCTTACATTAATCATCCTATTAATACCATTTTCAAAATGATGTTTTTTTCTTGTAACCTTAGATTTTTCCATGTATAGTTTCCTGGTTAGGTTAATTTCTCTGGTTCCCTTAGAAACTTTTTATCCTTTGATAAGACTTTTTGTTAAAAAGAAAGCCCTCCCAAGCCTTTTTACTTCATTCTGCAGTAGGGAGACTAACTTCTGTGCCAACACAGATAACCAGTAATGCTTCTAGTGAGAAGAAACACCTTGATTGAGTATCTGCTGTGCCAGGCCGTTTAACAAGTGCTTACACATGGCTTCTTACTTAATGTTGAAAACAATCCTGTCAAGGGAAGTGGTATCAGTGAGCAAATGAAGATCTGTGGAAGTTAGGTAATGTGCACAATGTGAGTGATAGAGCTGGCAAGAGCCGAGCTAGTCTTTGAGTGAAGGGCTGCTCTAAAGCCCATGTGTTTTCATTATACCATGAATGCTCTTATCCTCCAGGATATAAAGATAATCTCATCTTTTTTGTTTTTTAGGCAGAGTCTCACTCTGTCACCCAGGCTGGAGTGCAGTGGCGGGATGGCAGAGTCTCACTCTGTCGCCCAGGCTGGAGTGCAGTGGCGGGATGGCAGAGTCTCACTCTGTCGCCCAGGCTGGAGTGCAGTGGCGGGTGGCAGGATCTTGGCACACTGCACCCTCCACCTCCCAGGTTCAAGCAATTCTTGTGCCTCAGCCTCCTGAGTAGCTGGGACTACAGGTGCACACCACCATGCCTGGCTAATTTTTGTATTTTTTGTAGAGACGGAGTTTCATCATGTTGGCCAGGCTGGTCTTGAACTCCTGGCCTCAAGTAGTCCACCCACCTTGGCCTCCCAAAGTGCTGGATTACAGGCATGAGCCACTGTGCTGAGCCAAGATACTCCCATCTTTAAAAAAAATCCCCATTTAGCAAACTAGCCTCCATCATTCCCGACAGCTCTTCATTCCTTCCCTCTGACCCGTATGTTATCAGTTCCTTTTACCTACTGGCTTTCTGTTGTTTATAACATAATGTTAAGGATTCTCGTGCTTTAATAACCTGGCCCAAGCCTGCCTTATCTTTTGGGTGCTCCCTCCCTTTATTCTTTCTGCTGCAGTGTAGAATGTCCCTCCTATCAAGACCCAGTCCTTTTGTTTGGATTTCATTCCTCCCTGCTTGCTCATAAACCTTCCTTCATTGTTAATGTCCTCTTTCTTTAACTTTCATAAAAACTCTTGACTTTCCAATTACTTTTAAAGAATTGGAGGATATGGTAGCCTGGGTCTGTGTTTCCAAATATCAGCAAGAGACTAGAGCTGAATAGTGTCTCCCCACTTTGGGTGGTGAATGTTCTCTTTATTTAAACACAGTCCCACTGCTCCCTATTGTCATATAGGAAGCCTACTTCCCTCTGTTGTCACCTGTGTGGTGATAAAACAGGAATTTTGTATTCCCTGGCCTAAAGTCTAGTATCTGACTTTTAAAAGTAATCCTATAATCTGAATTTGTATTTATAGATATAATCTTATTTCCTCTTCTTCTCAGTACCAGCTGTCTCCCCAGGAAGGTTACTACCCGGGCATGTTCTCGCTGTCTTTTGTATCTCTTCCCTTCATATTTCAGCTCACAATGACTTCTTTTCCTAGCTTCTGTGGTACGTACATATTTTCGTGTGTATTGTATTATTTCACAGTTTGTTTTTTATTCCCAATAAGTGAGCAAACTTCTTGAAGACAGGGATTGTATTACCTCAATTAAAAAGTTGACTTAAGTTTTATATGGAAGAAAACATACCTTTAAAAAGCAAAAATCACACAGCTAAGTGAGATGCTGGCATGATGATGGGCATATGAGATGCTGACATGATGATGGGCATGAGAGCTGAATATGACAGGGAACAGCATATTCAAGATTCCAGTCTATCTGTACTCCAGGGCATACATCTGTTGACTGGAAAGGCAGGCAAATTGTGTATACTATTTAAAATGTTTATCTGTTTTAATTTTTCTTTTTTCCTTCCACCCTCTATCTTCCGTCACGTTCTACTTTCTCTTGAATTGCATTAATTACTTCATGATAGAATTCTAGTATACTTTTATGTCTTCTGCAGTGGTAGAACCCTGTGTCTCTCTGAAGAAAATAAAACCAGTTGAATGAATGAACATATCAATTAGTGCTTTGGGGGATAGTGAACAGGAGGTGGTGTAAATTAATTATATTTACCATCTGTGTTTTTCTTTTCAACTAATTCATTCAGGCAGGGAGGAACCATAGAGTTACGTTTCTTCTGCTTGACTTAAAATATCTCAAAATTCCTTTCCGGCTCTACATTTCTTTAAGATCAAAACCCTTACTATATATAATAGTTCAGTTCTAAAGCTTTTTAGAGCTCTGTTAGCAAAACAGAGAGGTATTCATGTTGTACACGTATTCCTGGCAATTTGGTGTAATCCTTTACCTTTAGGAGATGTTAGAATTTCCTTTTTTCCATTTACTCATTTTAGGAATTGTATTAGTCTGTTCTTAACACTGCTAATAAAGACATACCCAAAACTGGGTAATTTATAAAGGAAAGAGGTTTGAATGACTCACAGTTCCACATGGCTGGGGAGGTCTCACAATCATGGTGGAAAGTGAATGAGGAGCAAAGTCATGTCTTACATGGCGGCAGGCAAGAGAGAGCTTGTGTAAGGGAACTCCTCTTTATAAAACCATTGGATCTCGTGAGACTTATTCACTATCATGAGAACAGCATGGGAAAGACACGCCCCTCATGATTCAATTACCTCCCACCAGGTCCCTCCCACGACACATGGGAATTATGGGAGCTATAATTCAAGATGAGATTTGGGCAGGGACACAGCCAAACCATATCAGGAATCTAAGGCCGATACTGCTAAATTCCATTACTTAGTTAAAGTTTTCCCAATGTTATAAAATTAAAAGACCTTTGATTTACATTTGAATCTCTGAATTCAGTGTTGTTGCTCAACTTATACATAAATGAAAGGAGTTATTTAAAAGGGTGAGACAAGAAACCTTTGAGCAAGTTGGGGATTTTGTACAGGTGGAAGTGCTGTTATTGGGACATACTATAGAAAGAAACTTAAGATGTGAAGTCTTAGCTACCTCAGCTCTCAGTGGTTTAACACAATTAATTTTTTTTTTTTGGAGTCTCGCACTGTCGCCCAGGCTGGAGTGCAGTGGTGTGGTCTTGGCTCACTGCAAGCTGCACCTCCCAGGTTGACGCCATTCTCCTGCCTCAGCCTTCCGAGTAGTTGGGACTATAGGCGCCTGCCACCACACCCAGCTAATTTTTTTTTTTTTTGTATTTTTAGTTGAGACGGGGTTTCACTGTGTTAGCCAGGATGGTCTCGATCTCCTGACCTCGTGATCCGCCCACCTCAGCCTCCCAAAGTGCTGGGATTACAGGCGTGAGCCACCGTGCCTGGCCAACACAATTAATTTGAACCAGGCTACTTTGGGGGAGAGGTTGTTAGATAGTAAATGGAAGAAAATAAACACGAAACAAAAAGAGTGCAGTCCATTTAGTAATGCCTCCCATTATTACTTTGATCTGGAGGAAAAAAGATATTTACTGTTTGGCCCATTACAGAAAAAGTTTGCTGAGTTCTGCTCCAGGGTAAATATCCAGAAGTGGGTTTTCTGAGTCACGTTGTAAATGTATGTTTAACTTCATGAGAAACTGCCAAACTCTTTTCTGCAGTGGCTATACCATCTTACATTCCATCAGCAATGTTCCAGTTGTTCTCTACCCTCACTAGCTCTTGGTATTGCCAATATTTTAAAATTGTACTCATTTTAGTAAATGTATAAAGGTAGCTTGTCATGTTTTTAATTTTCATTTCCCTAGTGGCTAATGATGTTGAACATCTTTTCATATAGTTATTTGCCATCTGTGTTCTCTTTGGTGAAGTGTCCAAGTCTTTTCTTAATTTTTTTAATTGGGTAGTTTGTTCTCTTAATGCTGAGTTTTGAGAGGTTTTTTTTTTTTTTTTGAGACGGAGTTTCGCCCTTGTTGCGCAGACTGGAGTGCAATGGCGTGATCTCAGCTCACTGCAATTTCCACAACCCTGCCCGGGTTCAAGTGATTCTCCTGCCTCAGCCTCCTGAGTAGCTGGGATTACAGGCATGTGCCACCACACCCGGCTAATTTTGTATTTTTAGTAGAGACGGGGTTTCTCCATGTTGGTCAGGCTGGTCTCGAACTCCCGACCTCAAGTGATCTGCCTGCCTTGGCCTCCCAAAGTGCTGGGATTACAGGCGTGAGTTTTCTATATACTTGGGATATAAACCCTTTGTTGGATATGTGATTGCATATTATTTTCTCTCATTTTATTCTCTTAACAGTGTCTTTTCCTCATTAAAATGTTTACATTTTGATAAAGTCTAATTTATTGATTTTTTTAAAAAAATTGGGCAGCCCCCAAGCCAGAATAGGTTGAGAGAGACTCCCCAGTTCATTGATGTTATTTTCTTTTATGGCTTGTGTTTTTCATGTCATGTCTAAGAGTACTTTGCCCAAACTCAGGTTATGGAGATTTTCTCCTGTGTTTTCTTCTAGGAGTTTTATAGTTCTGCATTTTACATACATCTCTGTGATCCATTTTGAATTAATCATTCTATCAGGTATGAGGTTTGGGTCAAGGTTCACATTTTTTTTGCAACATTATTTGTTGAAAAGACTATTCTTTTTCCATTCAGGTGACTTTACATCTTTGTCAAAGATCATTTGACCATACTTACGTAGTCTATTTCAGGATCCTCTTTTCTGTTCTGTTGATTTATGTGTCTGTCCCTTCACCAATGCCACACCATCTTAATTATTGTAGTTTTATGGTAAGTTTTAAAACTGGGTAGTGCGATTCTTCCAACTTTATTTTTTTTTCAAAGTTATTTTGGCTAGTCTAGTTTGCTGACTTTTCTATATACATTTTAAAATTCACTTATGTGCAAAAATTTTTAATGCAGTTTTGACTGGCTTCGAGTTACATTTGTAGATCAAGTTGTGGGTGAATAGACATTTTTGCTATGTTGAGTCTTTTAATCCATAACCATAGTATGTCTCTTCATTTTGAGCTTTTTTGATTTCTTTCTCAGCGTTTGGTAGTTTTGAGTATATAGATCTTGTTCATGTGTTTTAAATTTATACCTAAGTATTTCATTTGGGGAGGAGCTTTTGTAAATAGTATTTTTAAAAAATTTCAATTTCCTGTTGTTCATTTCTCATATAAATAAATATGATTGATAGCTATGTCAGTTTTGTATCCTGCAACTTTGCTAAACTCACTTATTGGGAATAGGCGTTTTTTGTAAATCATTTAAGATAGTCTACATAGGCAATCATGTCATTTGTGAATAAGAATTTTATCTCTTCCTTTCCCATTTTTTGTTTCTTCTTATTAAACTAGCTAGGACTTCTGGTATAATATTAAATAAGAGTGATGAGAGTGGACATCTCTGCCTTATTTTTAATCTTAGGGAGAAGCATTCTAAATACTACTAAATACTATGTTTGTTGTAGGTTTTACGTTTAAAACTTTATCACACTGAGGAAATTTTTTTACTCCTAGTTTGCTGAGAGTTTTTATGATGAATGGATACTGAAATTTATTGAATGCTTTTTCTGCGTCAATTCATATGATCATGAGACCTTCTTTTTTAAAAAAATTTTATTTGTTAAATTTTTGATTCAGAGGGTATATGTTCAGGTTTGTTACATGAGTATATTGCATGATGCTGAAGTTTGGGTTTCTAGCCCAGGTAGTGAACACAGTACCTAATAGGTAGCTTTTCCATCCTTTCCCCCTTCCTCCATCCCATCCCTTTTTGGAGTCCTCAGTGTCTACCATTCCCATCTTTGTGTCTGTGCATATCCAATGTTTAGGTCCCACTTATAAGTGAGAACATGCGGTATTTGATTTTCTGTTTCTGTGTTAATTTGCTTAGCGTAATGGCTTCCAGCTGTATCCATGTTGCTGCAGAGGACATGATTTCATTCTTTTTTTTTTTATTGCTGTGGAAGGTTTTCTTCTTTAGACAGTTAATGTGGTGAATTATATTGATTGATTTTCTTTTTTTTTTTTTTTGAGACAGACCCTCGCCCTGTTTCCCAGGCTGTAATACAGTGGCTCAATCTCGGCTCACTGCAACCTCTGCCTCCTGGGTTCAAGCAATTCTTGTGTCTCAGCCTCCCAAGTACCCGGGACTACAGGCGTGTGCCACCACACATGGCTAATTTTTGTATTTTTAGTAGAGATGATGTTTTACCATGTTGGCCAGGCTGGTCTCGAACTTATGACCTCAAGTGATCCACCCACCTTGGCTTCCCAAAGTTCTGGGATTACAGGCATGAGCCACTGCGCCCGGCCTGATATTTGGATATTGGACCAGCCTTGCATTCCTGGGGTAAACCTAACTTGGTCATGGTATATACTGTTGGATTCCATTTGCTAATATTCTATTGATAATTTTTGCCTCTATTCATGATGGTTTTAGTCTGTAGCTTTTGTTTGCTTGTCTTTTTCTGGTTTTGGTATCTGGGCAATACTGGCCTTATAAACTTGAAAGCATTCCTTCCTTTTCTGTTTTCTGGAAGAGATTGCATACAGTTTGTATTATTTCTTTTTTGAAATGTCAGGTAGAGTATGCCAGTGAAACCATCTGGGCCAAATTATTTTTGGAAGGTTTTTAACTATAAAATCAATTTCTTTGATAGAAATTGGTTATCTATTCATCTTAGATGAGTTTTGATAGTAATTTGTGGTTTTCAAGGAATTGGTCCATTTCACCTAAGTTGTCAAATTTATAGTTTCTAAAGTAGTTCATAGTACAGATGGTCCCTGACTTTTCATGGTTCTACTTACAATTTTTTGACTTTATGATGGGATGAGAGTGACATGCATTCAGTAATGCTTGTATCCATACAACCATTCTGTCTTTCACTTTTAGTACCGTATTCAATAAATCACATGAGATATTCAACACTTTATTATAAAATAGGCTTTGTGTTAAAATGCATTTTTGACTTGCTGTATTTTCAACTTACGATGGGTTTATCAGGAACCCCATGATAAATCAAGGAACGTTTGTAGTGATGTCTTCTCTTTCATTCCTGTTATTGGTGATTTATGGTTTTTGTGTTTTTTTGTGGTTAAAAATTAATTTGATAACTTGTATTGGCCTTTTCAAAGAGTCACTTTTGCTTTCATTGATTTTCTCCATTTTTTTTTTCATTTCATTGATTTCTGTGTTTGCTTTTGACTTTGGTATTTTGTTTTTTGATTCTTTGGTATTTAGTATTCTGTCAATCTGGAACTTATTTACATCCCCCCAATTTTAAGTTTCTCTATGAATTTATTCAATGGCTGGCTTGAAGAACATTTTTAAAAGTCTTCATGTCTTCTACAATGTGCAGTTATATGACCACTACCACAGTCCCATTACCTCCTAAATTTTTATACTTTTGATTTATTTGCTTTTGTGACTTAACGTTTGTGGGTAGGAATATTTTTACTCTTTATTTTAGGAAAGTCATAGTACTTTTTGTAACACACACCCATTAGTTCTTTGGTTTGTATACTTATTGGTCTAGCACTTTACTGTAATCAATAGCCAGGACCCAACATTAGAGAACTAACTAATCTCTGCACTTACATGTAATACATTATTATGTGGCCATTAAAAATCATATTGTGGGAGAATAATGACAGCCAATTTTATATGATATATTGAATTTCAAATTGTATAAAACAGAATTTAAGAATCATTCATTTTTGATTTAAAAAATTGTCTTTATACACAGAGAAAAATAACTGGAAGATATACTATAAAATTTTAATAGTGTTTTCTTATCCCTGGATAGTGAGATTTGGGGTAATTTTCTGCCTTGTGTTTTTTAGTATTCTGATTTACTACAATGAATGTATGTTATTTTAATATTCAGAAAGCCTTATCTTTTTAGAAACCTATTTAAAATAATATTTTAAAAATAAATTTTTGTCAGGTGTAGTGGCTCACACCTGTATTCCCAATACTGTGGGAGCCCAAGGTGGGAGGATCGCTTGAGCCCAGGAATCTGAGACCAGCATGGGCAACAAAGCGAGACCCTGTCTCTACAAAAAGTAAAAAAAAATTAGTAGGGCATGGTGGTGGAGGCTGAGGCAGGAGGATCATTTGAGCTCGGGAGGTTGAGGCTACAGTGAGCTTTGATTGTGCCACTGCACTCCAAACTGGGTAGCAGAGTAAGACCCAACCTCAAAAATAAAAATAAAAATAAGCCAATTTTGAGGGCTGGGTGTGGTGGCTCACGCCTGTAATCCCAGCACTTTGGGAGGCCGAGGCAGGCAGATCACCTGAGGTCAGGAGTTTGAGACCAACATGGCCAACATGGCAAAACCCCATCTCCACTAAAAATACAGAAATTAGCTGTATTTCGTCATGCATGCTGGCGGTCCCAGCTTCTTGAGACTGTGGTAGGAGAATTGTTTGAACATGGGAGGTGGAGACTGCAGTGAGCCAAGGTTGTGCCACTGCACTCCAGTCTGAGTGACAGAGCAAGACTGTGTCAAAAAAAAAAAAAAAAGAAAGAAAAACTGAAAAATAAATACATTTTCTAGTTTGTATTTGAATTTTATTGTAATTTTGGTAGTGTCAGTATTTGGAGTTTTTCTTTATTATGAAGATGTAAATCTACTCAGAGCTGAGCTATGTATAAAACTGTTCACTTTTACTTTCCTGCACAGAGTTGTTCCTAGATTTAATAATTTTTGTTTCTTCTTTTGCTTGCTTTGGTATGAAATGATCACTAATTCACCCCCAACTCCTTTTCATTTTTAGATCTCCTCTTAAGTCATTCAGATGCTACTCTGCCAATTTCATCTTTTTTGGAAAGTCTGTCTGGGAAGTGCCTAACTTGCTCCAATTTGGACTGGTTATCCACTAAGCCTGGTATACAGCCGACATCCTGATTATCTTCCTTCCCTATCATCCTGAAAATCCTTTTTGCCTGTCTCCTTGGCTGTGTTCCCAATTTCTTTTTTCACATGTCTTTCTCTTTCTTGGTTTATTTCTCATTTTAGTGAAACATACCATCCAATATCTTCATGAGAGCAAGAGGTTAATTTTTCAAAATGTCACACACTTGAAAATATTTTTCTGTGCTTGCACCTGATTGGTTATTTGGCTGGGTGGAGAATTCTGGGTTGAAAGTAGTTTTTCTTTGGAATTTTTTTTTCTCTTTTTTTTTCCCCAGGTCAAGTGCAGTAGTGAGGAAAACAAGTTCAGTCTTTGTGAACAATCAGTTGAAATAACTCACTACCTTTAGACCAGCCTTTCTTCACAATTTTGAAGTCATTATTATTTTAATAATAATCTCTACAATATTTTTTGCTTTCAGAAGCTATTGAGAAATTCCAAGTTAATCTGATTCCTTATCCTTATATGTGTCCTCTTTTTCCTTTCTGACAGTTTGTTGGCTCTTCTCTTTGATTTATTGTTTTGAAATTTCATGGGGATGTATGTCTTGGTATAGGTCTGTTTTTATCCACTGTGCTAGCCATTTGATGTCCCATGTCAGAGTGGAAATCCACACCCTCAAATGCTCTTTAACTACATCTTTGATTTCTTTTTCTCTGTTCTTTTTTCTGGAACTCTTGTTATTTGAAGGCTGGATTTTGTGGAATTGTCTTCTAATGTTCAAGTCTTCTCTTGTTTTTCATCTTGTTTTTAAATCTCGTGTTTGGAAGATTATCTCAACTTTATCTCTCGGTTTTTCTATTGAGACTTTTATTTTTACAATTATGTTAATTTCCAGCAGGTCCTTTTTTTTCTTATTCTTGTCTCATGGTTATTATCATCATCTCATCTCTTACCTCAATATAGATATTAATGCTGGTCTCTTGAAGTTTTCTTTTTTGTGTAATGCCTCTGTTTCCTCAGATTCTTTATTTTTCTGTTTGCTTTGCTCTCTTTCACATTAACAGCCTTTTTCAGGTCTCCGGCAATACATGACTATGTAGGGGAGGAAAAACTTTTCCTCTGCCCTCAGGTTTCGTAGCTATCGCCTGTTTTGTTAGCCTAATTAGGCTAACAAAAGACAGATTGATAAGAGAAAAGCATACACATTTTATTTGATGTTAGCATTTTTTATGTGGCACAGGGGGCTTCATAGAAAAGAAGTGAAAACTCCAAAGAAGCATTTAGATTCAGGATTTTATATACCTTTTTCTTTCTTTCTTTTTTTCTCTTTTTTTTTTTTTTTGAGACAGAGTCTCACTCTGTTACCCAGGCTGTAATACAGTGGTGCAATCTTGGCTCACTGCAACCTTAACCTCCCAGTTTCAAGCAATCCTTCTGCCTTAGCTTCCCAAGTAGCTGGGACTACAGGTGTGTGCCACCATGCCTGGCTAATTTAAAAAAAAATTTTTTTTTAGTAGAGATGGGGTTTCACCATGTTGGTCAGACTGATCTCGAACTCCTGACCTCAAGTGATCCACCCTCCTCAGCCTCCCAAAGTGCTGGGATTACAGGAGTGAGCCACCGTGCCATTTCTTTTCTTTTCTCTTCTCTTCTTTTCTTTTCCCTTCTTTTCTTTCTCCTCCCCTCCCCTCTCTTCCCCTCCCCTCCCCTTCCCTTTTTTAAGAGACAGGGTCTCGCTCTGTCTCCCAGGCTGGAGTGCAGTGGCGTGATTATAGCTCACTGTAGCTTTGAACTCCTGGGCTCAAGTGATCCTCCCTTCTCAGCCTCCCAAATAGCTAGGACTATAAGCATGCCCAGTTAAGTTCTTTTAAAAATTTTTTTTGTAGAGATGAGGTCTTGCTTTGTCGCCCATGCTGATCTTGAACTCCTAGGCTCAAGCAGTCCTCCCACCTCGGCCTTAGTGCTGGGATTACAGGTGTGAGTCACCAAGCCTGGCTTTATATACCATTTTAACAAAGGGTAATAAATTGAAGAGAAATGACTGGATGAAGGAAAGGGTTTTGAGTTTCTAAGGGTGGCAAATTGTAGGAAAGTGACTAGGAACTACATGGGGGAAACTAATGGAAGGAAAGGATTATTTTAGTACGGTTTGTTGTGCAGACTCATCCCTGCATTGACTCCCCATTCCTGGTGATAAGAATATTCTTTTCTTCCTAGTATCAGGAGGGTAACTTTTGCATGGGGAGTTTATGCCTTGTTTCAAGCTGGAAGTGGGGATAACATAGAGCCCTTCACACATCTGCTTTTCTCATCCCCTTCAACTGTCTGTTCTTGTTTTAAGAGTGAGAGATTAAAATGTTGATTTGTAGCCAAGCAAGTGGCTGTGGCTTATCAACATTGAGCCTCACTGTAGGGTAATCTTATTGGAATATTTCACTGGGGAACCCCAAATGTCAGTATTTTTAGGTCTTTCCTCTTGAGGTGATCAAATTCCCTAGAGGAGATTGTTCCAAACTCTTGGCTGCCATATCCTGGGAGCTTAGTGGGTGAAGGGAAGGGAATCATAGAGATGGATCTTTGTTTGCTATAAACGTGTGTTTATTTAGTCCTAATGTTGTTAGGATGATTCTCACTTGTTATTTAACCTCACCCTGATTTTACCACAGGCTTATATTGACATAATTTTAACTTAGTGCTTCTCAAAGGAGATTGGGGTGGAGTCAGGATGTTTGGAATTACCTTTTGGATTGTAACAGACTATTGGCCAGGCAAGCTAAAAGTTTTGCAGTACTGATGAGCTGTAGGGGGAAGAATTGCTTCACCCAAAATGCCACTAGCTCCCCTTTTGAAAACAGTACAAGTTTAACTTAAACTAAATCTTAATGACAGTGAAAGTTAATTCCCAGTTATTATCTTTGATTTTCCTGCTCTTCCCTAATTCATGCTTGACAGTGGTGTTTCTGATTTTAATGATATTTGAAATTGGAATTCTAAAGATTTGTTTTACATAGATAGGCGGAGTGGAAGCAAGAAGACTAGTTAGGAAGTCATTGCAGAAGTCTAGGCAAGAGTTATTGGTGGCTTGGATTAGAATGGTAGTAGTAGAGAGGGCCAGGCATGGTGGCTCACACGTGTAATCCCAGCACTTTGGAGGCCAAGGTGGGCAGATCACCAAGACCAACCTGTCCAACATGATGAAACCCTATCTCTACTAAAATACAAAAAAAAAAAAAAAATTAGCTGGACACATACCTGTAGTTCCAGTTACTCGGGAGGCTGAGGCAGGAGAATCACTTAAACCTGGGAGGTGGAGGTTGCAGTGAGCCGAGATTGTGCCACTGCACTCCAGCCTGGGCAATAGAGCGAGACTCTGTCTCAATAATAATAATAATAAAGAATGGTAGTAGTAAGAAGAAGAAAAATAGAGGATCTGAATGTATTTTGAAGGTAGAGTCCACTGGACTTAGAGATGGATTGAATGTGGAAGATTAAGGAAAGGGAGAAATGAAAGATAGTCTTAGGTTTCATCTTCAGATGACTGGGTGAACAGCAGTGTTCTTTGCTAAGATGGGGAAGACTAGGGAAAAGAGCCAGTTCTGTATTGAGCATATTATATTTAAGACAATCCCATCTGGGTCCAAAGACAATGTTGATTTTTTTTCTTAGATACCTGCCCCTTTAGACCTGGTTATTATTCAACTGTCATTGAGAAAAATGCTTGATTATTTGGCTATATACCTCTCTACCCCTCCTTATTGTTGCCATCCACCATCCTTATTTGTTGAGGACTTTGGGACTTGGCTTGTCCACCCTATTCCCTGGCATAATCATGGGCAACTTTAGGGGCTGCAAGGGCATTTATCCAAGTTCCTGTCCTTAAGGTTCTTTGACATGAAGCATGCCAGCAGTGACAATATGATATTGTGGTTTTGAATCCCAGTTCCCCTACTTCCTAACTATGTAAGTTTGAAAACAGTGCTTAACCTTTTGTGCCTCATTTTCCTCATTTGCATATTGGGGATGATACTATCTGCATATTTGGAATTTTGTGAAGATTAAATCAGAAAATAATGTAAATTATTTTCTATTACTAAGTACTAGTGCATGGCACATAATAAACATTCCATAAATGTTAGCTATTAAGATTATTATTTATATATCTATTTAATAATATCTGCTACTATTATTATTTTAGTTATGTAACCCCTCCAAAAGCTACCTCTTGAGCCTTGCTTTCTCAAATTTTAACCTCTTAAAATTTAAGAGTCAAAGGGACACTGACCATGATTTCCTAGTGTGTACAATGTACTTGCTTAAAAAAAAATAAAATTAAACTTATCAGCACTTCAATTCCAGTGGTTCTTATTTAGAAGTATGTATTAGGAGGTTTTTCAAAAGTCTGGGCCTTCCCTTGGGAAGCTTGACTAGAATGTTATGGAGATGGGGGTGGCATCAGCATCTCTATGTATGATTGCCCTCCCTCCCTCTCTTTTCTAGGTAGTCAGCTGTTTGTTTGCAAGGCTGCTTTTCCTCACCAGTCTCCACTCCATTAATCAGTACTTTAAGCCACTCTCTCATGGCCACTTTTAATGAACTAACACCCTCCCTTGGATGAATCCAATCCTGTCTGCCTCAAACCTGGACTGCTGAAAGCCACAGTTCTCCAGCTATGTGAAATTCACTTATGGATTATTTTGGCTCTCTAATTTTTTATTTGTTTTTTGTTGTTGTTGTTTGTTTGTTTTTAGAGAGAGTGTCTATATATGTCAACCAGACTGGAGTGTAGTGGCATGATCACAGCTCACTACAGCCTTGAGCTTCTGAGCCCAAGAGATCCTCTGCCTTAGCCCCTAGAGTAGCTAGGACCACAGGTACATGCCACCACACCCAGCTAATTTTAAATTTTTTTATAGAGACAGATCTCACTTTGTTGCCCAGACTGGTCCTGAACTCCTGGCCTCAAGGGGTCCTCCTGCCTCGGCCTCCCAGAGTGCTGGGATTACAGGTATGAGGCACTGTGCCCAGCTGGCTCTTTAATCTTTACTATTAGACTGATTTTCATATGACACAGTAGGCATAGGGCTCTTTTAGTTACTAGTGATTCCAAAAGTGACTTTAATCCCATTACTCAGGATCTCTATGGTACTGTCAATTAGATCTTCCTCATTTTTGCAACATGTTTACGTAGCATTAATGATATTATTGTTTCATAAGTGAGAAAATGAAGACACAGAAGGATAAAATAGTTTGTTGCATCAGCTTGCGGGCATAATAAGCAACCTTTCTTCTCTCTGTTAATTCTGTTTTGTAGGCCAGTATAATGGCTTTAGTGTCACTGTTGTTAAGGAGTTTTTGATGGGTTGTTTCTATTTTCTTTTTGAGATGTGAACTGTCCAGATTAATTCTAATCTATAACTTTTGGGAAAAGTATATTGATATACATGTTAGAATGTGTGTGTGTATGTGTGTGTGTTGTGTGTATGTAGTAGATGATAACCTTTAGCTTTGGTTTTCAATAAGAATTTTAAAATTTATTACAATTAGAAAATTTTTCCTCCAGTTTTTATTCAGTTGTCCTTTTTCCCTTTGGAAATAGTGGACCTGACCCAATTCTTTTTTGAGAATTCATTTCATAGAGCAGCGTGTTAGAATATTTTTGTTCTTCTAATCAAGTGCAGTGTAAGAACTGTAGACATCCATAATTTCTTTTCTATCCCTTGGTTAAGATATTAGCTTTATTACTATATTTACTGGTCCTGGAATAGCAAGGCATAATCTGAGGAGCATAGCTACTTCATCTGTGTAATAAATTGCTCTTTCACTACAAACATTTTAATACTGATTTTGTTGGTCATTTAACTTTCTAATAGTGGTCCTTAAATTATGCTCTAAAAGAAGAATACCATATATATTGGAAATTAAATTTGTTGTTGAATAAAATTAGAATTATTATAAAATTCAACACGACCTTATTGCTACCTCAGGATAATTTCTTGGCAAAAAGTTGATCCAAACTGGGTGTGGTGGCTCATGCATGTCATCCCAGCACCTTGGGAGGCTGAGACAGAAGGATTGCTTCAGCCCAGGAGTTCCTGACTCAAAAAAAAAAAAAAAAAAAGAAAAGGAAAGAAAAGTTGATCTAGGTACCTTCATTTTGTTTTGTTTTGTTTTTTTGAGACAGAGTCTCGCTTTGTCACCTAGGCTGGAGTGCAGTGGCTCAATCTTGGCTCACTGTAACCTTTGCCTCCCAGGTTCAAGCGATTCTTGTGCCTCAGGCTCCAAAGTAGCTGGGATTGCGGACATATGCCACCACACCTGCTAATTTTTGTAATTTTTAGAAGAGACAGGGTTTCACCATGTTGGCCAGGCTGGTCCCGAACTCCTGACCTCAAGTGATCCACCCACCTTGGCCTCCCAAAGTGCTGGGATTATAGACGTGAGCCACCACACCTGACCACCTTCACTTTTTTGATTCAGCATGCTATGTGAGTCTTGGTAAATTGACATTTGGTCTGAAAATAAATTTTGGCTAAGTTCTGATTGAGAGATAAAACATGTAGTGGATTAACTCTTAATAATTATACTTTAAAGTATAATTTCTGAAAGTATTTAGAAGTGAAAATTAAAAACCATTTATAATACATAATGTTAGATTATATATAATGTGCTGAATATTAAAAGATAATGCAATTCTTTTCCTATACTTGATAAGAAAAGAAAGACTATAATTTTGGGGAAAATAGAATGGAAAGGGAAGAGAGAGGATGGGGAAAATTGAGGGAGGGGTTATGTTAATTCCTTAGGGCTGCCATAACAAATTACCACAAAGTGGGTTTTACAGCAGATATTTATTCTTTCACAGTTCTGGAAGTTAGAAGTCTTGAAATCAAGGCGTCAGCAGGGCCATGCTCTCTCGAAAGACTCTCAGGGAGGCTCTTCCCTTGCCTCTTCCAGCTTCTTCTGGTGGTTGTCCACCATCCTTGGTGTCCCTCAGCTTGTAGGTGCGTCACTTCAATCTCTGCCTCTGTCATCACGTGGTGGTCTCCCTGTGTGTCTCTCTGACCCACATTTTCCTATTCTTATAAGGACTCCAGTCTTATTGGATTTAGGTTTAGGGCCCACCCTAATCCAGTATGACCTCATCTTGATTCACAGATTTTGGGGGGACATGAATTTTTGGAGTATACTGTTCAACCCAGTACAGAGGGTTCCAAATTCAATTTATGTTTTCATATTTAAACCAGTCACACTTACTAGATTTATCTGATTTATATAAAGCAAACAGGTAAGATATATTTTATGTAAAAACTTATTCTTATTTGCAGTTATATTGACATATATGCCTTCCCACTGCATGGGCCTAGGTATCTAGTATTTTCCACTCATGTAGCACAGATTGCGTTAAAGGACTATTTGGTGATGAGACATCTATTAATACAGATGGAGAGCCAGAAAACTGTCCACATTACCTCTTAATAGCCCACTATTTATAGAACCAAGCTAGACTTTTCTTGAGTTTTAACTGCTGTTCACTTTAGAATAATACTTGAAATGTTCTTACTTATTTTATATCCACAACACCTAACCATGCCTGATGCTGATTTATTGAATGAAGATTGTATTAATGAAAGAATGTTGTGCATGTGTGTGTGTGTTTGTGTGTTTGTATGTCCGTGTGTCTCCATTGGAGGGTTGTCAACAGGGGCATATGGGGAGTTTTCATTTGGTTAGTATATTCTCTGTCCTTTTTAAAAACATAACTAGGCTGGGCGCGGTGGCTCAGGCCTGTAGTCTCAGCACGTTGGGAGGCCGAGGTGGGCGGATCACCTGAGGTTGGGAGTTGAAGACCAGCCTGACCAACATGGAGAAACCCCGTCTCTACTAAAAATACAAGATTAGCCGGGCGTGGTGGCGCATGCCTGTAATCCCAGCTACTTGGGAGGCTGAGGCAGGAGAATCGCTTGAACCTGGGAGTCGGAGGTTGCGGTGAGCTGAGATCACGCCATTGCACTCCAGCCTGGGCAACAAGAGCGAAACTCCGTCTCAAAAACAAAAAAACCAAACAAACAAAAAACACAACTAGTGGCATCCATCATCCTATTCTACACTTTGCTTTTATTACTTAAAGTATATCATTTCATCTTAGTACATAAGTGCTATGTTTGCATAATATTCCATTGCATAGATATAATTTATTTAGGTAGTCTCCCTTAAAAATGTTTTTAATTGTGGTAAAATACGCTAACATAAAATTCACCATCTTAATTTTTCAAGTGTACAGTTCAGTCTTGTTAAGTATATTCACATTGTTGTGGAACCGATATCTAAAACTTTTCCATCTTGTAAAACTGAAACACTGTACTCATTAAACAACAATTTCCCCCTCCCCCAGCCCCTGGCAACCACCATTTCTATGAATTTGAGTTAGCTTCTCTTTCTAGTTGTTTTCATCTTTGCTTTTACAATCAAAGCTGCAGTGAGTAGCCTTGTGTACATGTCATTTTGCACATAAATGAGTATATCTGTAGGATGCATTTCTAGAAGTAGAATTCCTAGGTAAAAAGGTTTGTGCATTTATTAATTTTGAAATATAGTGCAAAATTGGCTTCTAAACAGGTCTCCCTATCCCTATTTCATCCTGAGCTTTTACACACAGGTGGCTTGAATTCTTTCCTTGCAGCAGTGAGTGAGATAAGGTTAGGGTAAAGAATACTAATGTAGAATTGGCCTTTGATAATTCATATCAAAAAATGCTAGAAGATTCTTTGCAGAATTCTGATGTTTGAAAACTGAGGCTTGACATAAATTTACTGTAAAATGAGGTGGCCGAGTGCAGTGGCTCATGTCTGTAATGTCAATACTTTGAGAGGCTGAAGCCGGTGGATTGCTTGAGCCCAGGAGTTTGAGATCAGCCTGGGCAACATGGCAAAACCCTGTGTCTACAAAAAAAATACAAAAGTTAGCTGGACTTGGTGACATGCACCTGTATAGTCCCAGCTACTTGGGAGGCTGAGGTAGGAGGGTCACTGAGCCCAGGGAGCTTGAAGCTGCAGTGAGCCATTGTGATTGCACCATTGCACTCCAGCCAAGGTAACAGAGCAAGATCCTGTCTCAAAAAAGTTAAAAATAAATATAAAATGAAATGAGGCATAACTACATAGAAATACCACTGTTTCCCTTAGAATGTACGTATAGATTTTGGCGCAGTGACTTTTCATCTGATAACTTCAAATAATTTGGCATTTGTATTAGTTTTATTATTTTAAGGTGAAAGTATGCATTATTATGTCTGAATGTTTTCTTATAAAATAGAATCTGAAGGGTTGGGAACCACCTCTCATTGATGATCGGTATTAACAGTTTGAAATTTATTTTTCTAGACGTTTTTCAGTGCATTGAACAACACATGGATGGTATTCCTGCTTTAAAAAGATGGGATCATGCTATATTTACTGTTTTGTGATTTGCTTTGTTAGTTGATAATACATCTTTTTTGGGTTAGTGAATAAGAGATATCCTCCATTATTTTAACGGGTTTATACTCTCCTATTACATCATAATTTTCTTGTCCATTCCCTTGTTGGTGAACATTTAAGTTGTGATAAACATTCTTTATACATATATCTTTGCTTATTTGAACAAGTTTCTGTAGGATAAATTCTAGGAAATAGAACTTCTAGATCAAAGGTATGACCATAGCTGGGCACAGTGGCTCACGCCTGTAATCTCAGCACTTTGGGAGGCCAAGGCAGGTGGATCACTTGAGGTCAAGAGTTTGAGACCAGCCTGGCCAATATGGTGAAACCCCATCTCTACTAAAAATACAAAAATCAGCTGGGCGTGGTGGTGTGCACCTGTAATCCCAGCTACTTGGGAGGCTGAGGCAGGAGAATTGCTTGAACCCGGGAGGTAGAGGTTGCAGTGAGCCAAGATCGCACCACTACACTCCAGCCTGGGTGACAGAGCTAGACTCTGTCTCAAATATAAATAAATAAATAAATAAATAAATAAATAAATAAATAAATAATGATAATTTTATATTTTAATGTATATTTGGGGGCTCTATAAAAGTTATATTAACATTCTGATTTGCACAGGAAATAAACTTAGTTCTAAACTTTCGGATGTTTTAGCTAGGTGACATATCATCATTAATATACATCATTTTTTCTAATATAAGGTTTGTGATAATATAAAAATCTTTAAAATGACAGCTTTGAAACTTTTTTGTTCTTACAGTGATGGAATGGGGAGAAGATATTAAAGCAGTTTCAAAAGATGAAGCAGTGATGTTGGTGAATCATCAGGCAACAGGAGATGTGTGCACACTGATGATGTGCCTCCAGGACAAAGGACTGGTAAGCTACCCTGAAGGCAGTAGATAGACATCCAGAAAGGAAGGTTAAAAAGGAATCCATTTGGCCGGGCATGGTGGCTCATGTCTGTAATCCCAGCACTTTGGGAGGCTGAGGTGGGTGGATCATGAGGTCAAGAGATCGAGGCCATCCAGGACAACAGGGTGAAACCCCATCTCTACTAAAAATACAGAAATTAGCTGGGCGTGGTGGTGTGCACCTGTAGTCCCAGTTACTCGGGAGGCTGAGGCAAGAGAATTGCTTGAACCCGGGAGGCAGAAATTGCAGTGAGCCGAGATCACGCCACTGTACTCCAGCCTAGCAACAGAGCAAGACTCCATCTCAAAAAAAAAAAAAAAAAAAGGGAATCAATTCAAATATCTTACTGTGCTTTGAAATATAGACATAGACTTTAATATGTATACTTTAAATAAAAATTTAGAAAATATTAAAAGAAAAAATATATCATTCTAAGTCACCCAGAAGTGGGAATGTAGAGACTTAAAAAAAAAAAAAAACTGGGACAATGTGAATTATATTTCAATAAGACTGTTTTAAAAAATAGTAACTGGGAGGAAAGCAGGTTAATATAGTTCAAATTGAGGGCTGTCTGGAGGTGAAGCAGTGGATTGCTAGTTTGAAAAATACAAACACAAAAAGCAGCTTTAGCCTGGCACAGTGGTGCCACTTGTAGTTCCAGCTACTCGGGAGGCTGAGGCAGGAGGATCGCTTGAGCCCAGGAGTTTGGGCTGTAGTTCTCTATGCTGATAGGCAGTCTGCACTAAGTTGAGCATAAATATGGTGACCTCCTGGGAGCAGTGAACAACTAGGTCACACAAGAAGGGTGAACCAGCCCAGGGTGGAAATGGAGCAGGCCAAAACTCCTGTGCTGATCAGTAGTGGGATCATGCCTGTGAAGAGCCACTGCACTCCAGCCTGGGCAGCACAGCAAGACCCCATCTCTAAAACAAAAGATTGGGGGAATATTGCTTATGATAGAATAAATATTTATAAACTGAGTGGATTTAAAAAATAAATTCAGTCTTTAGCCTTAGGAGAATTATCACCTTAGAAGTTAAAGAGGTTATGTTCATAGAAAACTAAATAAGGTGTATAAATTAATGGAGTTAATGTGTGACCTAATGGAAGTTCATTAAGGGCTTAGTAGTTATGATCAGTGACTATAGGAAGTGTAAACACCATCCTGTAAGATACAATTCATCTTATCAAGGTGCTGACAGCCTAGTGGCAGGTAGAAGAAGGGTATCACAAACAATGTTTTTTTTTGTTTTTTTTTTTTGTTTGTTTGTTTTTTTTTTTTTTTTTTTGAGATGGAGTCTTGCACTGTTGCCCAGGCTGGAGTGCAGTGGCACAATCTTGGCTTGCTGCAACCTCTGCCTCCTGGGTTCAAGCAATTCTTGTGCCTCAGCCTCCCAAGCAGCTGGGACTATGGGCACGGGTACCATGCCTGGCTAATTTTTGTATTTTTAGTAGAGACGGGGTTTCGCCATGTTGGCCAGGCTGCTGGTCTCAAACTCCTGGCCTCAGGTGATCCACCCACTCTTGGCCTCCCATAGTACTGGGATTACAGGCATGAGCCATAAACAATACTTAATTGACAAGTGAGATGGCTTCAGTGGAGGGTAAGTGCACTGTGTACCTCATGGACATAGAAAACTTTATGAAGGGGAGAGGACATAAACTTGGCCTTGAAGGATGAGTAGAATTTAGGTAGACTGGTAAAGCAAGGACTTCTTTCTTAATGAAACAATCTTGGCAAAAACATCAAAGTGAGAATAAGCCCTGGTGTGTTTAGGTTCCAGAGATTTTGATTCACTAGGTTAGGGTAGGGTCAGAAAATGAGAGGAGATTAAATAAAAATATGTTTTATTATTGCAGAATCTGTTTTTCTTGTCTATCTGAAAAGCAGAGGGATAATCTCACTGGAATGTGGAAAAATTAAATCCTTTCTTAGATTCAGGATCTTGAATTGTTAAGAGTATCACCATGTAGATATATTTGCATTTATAATAATATTTATTGCCTGTCCTCTAAGTTCATGACGTTAAAATTTTGCAAAACTAGTTGATTTGGCTTTCTATAAAAGAGAATCTCCAATTAGTTAACATTGTAACTCTTACAGATAGGATCATTACATTTATAGTGATTATCCTGAGGGCCTACAATGTCCTTAAGTGTTTTTTGAAACTCGTGATTAAAATGGTCAATATAAATATGTCTAACTGTATTCTAACACCAGTTTGGCATAGATGATAACTGTATTAACTAGAATATTAGGTAATTTAAAATTCCCCAGTCATGTGGACAAAAGAAAGTTTGGTTGGCTTGTTTGCCTTTATAAAAATATTTAAGTTAGTTAGGCTAGGTTCATTTTTCTATCCCAAGTAATTTTTTTTTATTTTGAGATTAGTTAATACTAAATAATGCTCTGATAATATTGAATACTTTGAAATCTAGAAGAATATTTTATTTTCTTTCATAAAGGAGTAACAGAATATAAGGGTGGAAGCATTATAATCTTTCCCTGCTGCCTAATAATTACAGAGCAATATAATTTGTATTCACTAGTAGGAATGTTTACTTGATTTATTTTATACTTTATGGATACCTTCAAATAAGGAAGGCTATATTGTGGGCCAGTTGAAAAATATTGCTTTGATGGTAATATAATTATAACATAGCTTTTTGAATTCAGGGGACTTCTTGAAGCCCCCATTAGTTTCTCAGTGGGAGTACTGTTGGCATTTTAATAGGACAACAGTGTTGCTGAGAACTGTCCTGGGCATTGCCAGACGTTTTGTGTACCCAACTGCCACACACTAAATGCTAGTAGCACTCCTTAGTCCTTGTTGTCACAAGGACCAAAATTATCCTGCAGTTTCCATACTCACCCAATGGAAAACCATTGACCTTATTATAATTTCAAAAGGACAGAAAGAGTGCAGTCATTTAAGTCTCTAGACGATGTTTTGATACGTAGAAAATCTGTGCATCCAGATAAAGAATAATTGATATAGATTGATTTTGTCTCTTAGAAATAATGGAAAAGTTCTGAGGGACAGACCTATCAAACATTGACAGAGTTGATTTAGGCAGCTTATGTTTACTCATCCTTCTTTTGAAGAATATGAAACAAAGGATTAATTGTGTTTTCTGAAAGTGTTGGTACTTTTTTTTTTTTTTTGAGACAGAGTCTTGCTTTGTCGCCAGGCTGGAGTGCAGTGGTGCCATTTCAGCTCACTGCAACCTCCGCCTCCTGGGTTCAGGCAGTTCTCCTGCCTCAGTTCTCCTGAGTAGCTGGGACTACAGGTGTCCGCCACCACACCCGGCTAATTTTTGTATTTTTAGTAGAGACGAGGTTGACCAGGATGGTCTCGATCTCTTGACCTCGTGATCCGCCCACCTCAGCCTCCCAAAGTGCTGGGATTATAGGCGTGAGCCATCGTGCCCAGCCTGGTACCCTTATAATAAGTGTCTGTGAATTGTCTTGGCCTTTTATGACAATTTATGATAAAACTAAGAATTTTTATTTCTGTCAAAAGAACTTTATTAAATGTTTTATAAACATTTATTGACTTATAACATTTCCCCTAAAATAAGTTGGAACAGAGCTGTCCTTACAAATCTCAGGAAATAGTTTGGGTATCTTTACTGAATTTATGTTTTAAGTGACCCTTCTAACTGAAGAGATAAATCCACCATGAATGAAAGGTTAAATATAAAAGCTAGTTATTTGGCATTTAAAACCCAGAAGTCAATAAATTACAACTACACTTCTTAATGTATCTAAAGCTAAAATGCTTTATAGGTTGAATCCACTGCTTTTTGTTTGTTTTGGGGACACTGTTCAACAAATTTCATTTAGTCCAAATCTCAGCTTATTTAAACATAGTACTGTAATCATCATTGCAAAGCAAAACAAGATGGGATGCTGGTGATTATCTTACTCTATATTAATTGATTGAGGAATCAGTTCTTTCTTTACTAGGCATATATCTTCATTTTTAAAAAAAGATTTAATATTGTAAAGCTGATGGAGTAGGAGTTGTGTAGCTGGAAAACTAAGGCAGAAGCTGTAATATTATATCATCTGTGGGCTTTTATAATGCTTTTATAAAAGCAGCACATGGATATCAGTGTTTTAGTTTTTTCCATATGTGTAGGTTCACATCAGTTGGTTCTTAGAGATGATGTTTACATCTACTGTTCCCCTGGGAAACCAAAGTAGAGCTTATTGCATTCTTGACTGAGGTTGTAGCTTTCACTTTAGTTAAGGCTTATAACAAGGAATGCTATTTCCTCAGCAGGAAAGAACAATTAACCGATTCATTAATTAGATCCCGTTTGTACTTTTAATTTTTTTTTTTTTTTTAATAAAGAGTCTCTCTCTGTCACCCAGGCTGGAGTGCAGCGGCTCGATCTTGGCTCACTGCAACCTGTGCCTCCCGGGTTCAAGCAATTCTCCTGCCTCAACCTCCCGAGTAGCTGGGATTACAGGCACGCACCACCACGCCTGGCTAATTTTTGTATTTTAGTAGAGATGGGGTTTCACCATTTTGGCCAGGCTGGTCTTAAACTCCTGACCTCAAGTGATCCACCTGCCTCTGCCTCCTAAAGTGCTGGGATTACAGGCGTGAGCCACTGTGCCTGGCCTGTAGTTTTAATTTTTAAATTTGCGTGAAAGAAAGTCTTCTGCCCTCAATATTGGTATTAACTCTTATCAGCAGTGGATAATATTTTTCTGTTTAAGGACTGAGGCACTACAAATATTTTTATCCTGGCAAAGACCATGATTTTACATAAACTAATAAATATTCTTCATAATAGAATATGTAAATCATTCTATTAATTTTTAAATGTTTTATTTGGGACACTACATTTTTATACTTTGCCATGAAGCTACACTCAGATTTTATAAAGCCACAGTGAATGTTCATTAAATATATAGTCTTGTTTGATAACTTAACCATTTTATTATATTGTTTCAAAATAATTTTGTAAGTTATATAAGAATTATCAGAGACTTTGGGGTAGAACAAATTTGAAATCATTAAGTCCAAATTTAAGAAGTTAATTGAGTTTCATTTTTTATATAGTGATATATGTACCTGTGACTTAGGATTCGAAGACTTGGAATCAAGACCTGTAATTTTTCATGTAGACACTATTAGTAACTGTGCTTTGTTTGTAGAAATAGAGTTAGACTTAAGATATTTTGGTTAATTAAAAGTATGCTTGGATGATTATATTTAAAGCTTGGAGACTCAGCTCAACTATAGTCAGGTTTCTTCTATCCAATATTATTTCTTGCTTTTAAATATTTTAGGTTGTTGCTCAGATGATGTGGTTGATGGATCATATTTTTAAGTACACAAACTTTGGAATTGTTTCTCTAGTTCATGGAGACTTCTTTATAAGACAGGTAAGTAATGAGCACTTTTTCCCCGCAGTGATAGCCTGGTCAAATTGATTCTTGATTATAAAAAGAGGTATAACAAAACCAATTATAATAGGTAGGGCTGCTTCTAACCAGTCTTAGGGAGCTTTTTTTTTTTTTTTTTTTTGAGAGACAGAGTCTCGCTCTGTCGCCCAGGCTAGCGTGCATTGGCACCATCTCGGCTCACTGTAACCTCCACTTCCTGGGTTCAAGTGATTCTCATGCCTCAGCCTTTGGAGTAGCTGGGACTATAGGCATGCCACTACGCCCAGCTAATTTTTGTATTTTTAGTAGAGATGGGGTTTCACTGTGTTGGTTAGGGTCTCAAACTCCTGACCACAAGTGATCCACCCGCCTGGCCTCCCAGAGTGCTGGGATTACAAGTGTGAGCCACTGGCCACTGTGCCAGGCTCAGGGAGCTCTTTCTCGGAATCTTTGTTCCCTAACCATTTATTTCAATCTAAATTTGAGTATGGATAAGTATTAAAATACTTAAAATGCAAATATTCTAATCTCTACTCTTCTCCCATTTAGAAGGTACATTTTTAGTTTAGTAAACATTCCCCACTATTCAGTTTCTTAGCTATGTGAATTGGGCAAATTATTTAAATCCTCAAGTTTCTTGTTTTCCAAACTTGAATAATATGTAGTATCCCCCACAATGGTTGTTGTGGGGATTAAATGAAGTAATAGCTATAAAGCACTCAGAACAGTGCCTACTACCTTCATCATCATTTTTATCTTGATTACTACTATTGTATCACTATTACTTTTATTTACAAGGCACTGTTGTATAATATAGTAGATATCTAAATTACTAGTAGGCAGATTATTAAATAAATTAATAAATAAGTTAATGTAATAATAATAATGGGAGATGTTTTGGGAATTCATAGTAGGAAAAATAAGTATATCAGTTTTATGTGAATCCAGAAAAACTTCAGAGAAGATGATATTTGGCACAAGTTTTAAAGAATAGGTATGGATTTGATGGAGGAAGGTGAATTGGGAAGTCCCAAGCATTAGGAATAGTTTAGTGTAGGAAGAAGAATGATAGCCTCTTATCAGCACTACATTATTTTCTTGACTTGTTACTAGTATTATATGCTTTATTTTCACCAGAATGGATAACTGAAATATGGTATGTACGAGCTTTTATGCATGACAATACCACAGTTATTTGGTGTTTACATATTTAACAACCTGGATTGTGCCGTGCTTTGCACATAATTATTACTTAATGAATAATTGGTGAATCTAATTAAGCCTTTTCCAAGAACCACAAATTCAGAAATAAGCTGGAATTGAGTAGAGAAACTTCTAAGTTCTGTGAAAATAAGTGTCACAAAACACATGTACTTTACTCCAGACAGTTTTATGTACTGGACATTATATCATTTCATTTTGGAAACATCCTTTGTTCTTCTGAGCAGAGAAACAAATATAAGCATACCCTGGAACCACAAGAAGTGGCAATGGGGAGTGGACACAAGGTCAAGACAAAATAAACTGATCAGGACAACTTAACAAAGATCCTAGTGTAATAGCTCAGAGAAGGCAGCGGAACCAACAATTAGAAAGCTTAGCAGTCTCAGGGATCCGAAAAGCTAGCTGAGCACCTTACCTCATTTCCAGCTTTAGGAAATAATTGAATTTACAGTGTAGTGTAACAGTTGATTCTAATGATGATCATCAGGCATCAAGAAGAGGGGCTGGGCTCGGTGGCTCATGCCTGTAATCCCAGCACTTTGGGAGGCCGAGGTGGACAGATTGCTTGAGGCCAGGAGTTCGAGGCCAGCCTGGCCAACATGGTGAAGGCCTGTTTCTACTAAAGATACAAAAATTGGCTGGGCATGGTAGCATGAACCTGTAGTCCCAGCTACTTGGGAGGCTGAGGCAGGAGAATCGCTTGAACCTGGGAGGCAGAGGTTGCAGTGGGCCGAGATTGCGTCACTGCACTCCAGCCTGGGTGACACAGCAAGATTCCATCTCAAAAAAAAAAAAAAGAGGCTAAATTATACTAGATTATCGGTGTACTTTTAGATAAAAGTTGAAAATTAGGTACTCCAAAATATTTTCTTGTGATTACTATGTGAAGTTTTGCATACATAAAGATTATATTTCGAAGTTTCTGGAAAGTTTACAAATTTATTTCTAAAGAGCAACGTGTTTTTCCCCGATAGATTAGTAATAAAAATCTATAACATGAGGGGAAGGAAGGGAAAAAGCATTAATGTTTAAAAGAAAAATTCTCTTGAGACTTTGCTACTAGACCATTTTGACAAGCTTTTCCAAGAATAGTAAAAATATTTTACGTATAATCTTGAGAACTTAATAGCTATCTTAATCATAATCAGTTCACTTCAGCAAACTGACTAACAAAATGTCTTACATGTTTTGCATTTGGGATACATTTGATCTAAAGACTGAAAGCATACTAATTATTTTGAGGAGTTTCTGTAATTTTGTTGGCTGGAAAATGTTGGCAAACTGATCACACTGAAAGAAAGAACCGGCTGGGCGCAGTGGCTCACGCCTGTAATCCCAGCACTTTGGGAGGCCAAGGGGGGCAGATCACAAGGTCAGGAGATCGAGACCATCCTGGCTAACACGGTGAAATCCCATCTCTACTAAAAACAAAAAAAATTAGCCGGGTGTGGTGGCAGGCGCCTGTAGTCCCAGCTACTCGGGAGGCTGAGGCAGGAGAATGGCGTGAACCCGGGAGGCAGAGCTTGCAGTGACCCGAGATCGCACCACTGCACTCCAGCCTGGGCAACAGAGCGAGACTCTGTCTCAAAAAAAAAAAAAAAAAGAAAGAACCTTTGTGATATTTAGTTGTAAGCTTTGGGCCTTCCTACAAATTTTTCTGGATTCTTCTTTTTAGACTTCAGGTCATCTTCTTTTCTCTCTTTCCCTCTCAACTAAGATACAGTCCATTAGAATGTCTTTTTTAGCTTTACTTTCACATTTTTCCTAAATGTAACTACTTGTTATCAATACAATATAATTGAATCTCATCAAATTCCCTTGTGTGGAATACTGCAAGTCTTCTAACTTATCTCCTGTGGTCTTTTGGTCACAGGAACCAGCAGATTTTCTTTCTTTTTTCTTTTTTTTTTTTTTTTTGAGACAGGGTCTCACTCTATCACCCAGGCTGGAGTACAGTAGTACCATCAGGGCTCACTGCATCCTCGAACTTGTGGGCACAAGTGATCCTCCTGCCTCAGCCTCCTGAGTAGCTGGGACCACTAAATGTGCCATCGCACCCAGCTAATTTTTGTATTTTTTGTATAGACGGGGTTTCACCATGTTGCCCAGGCTGGTCAGATTTTTTTAAACAGAAATAAGATTATAACACTTCCTTGTTCAAAACTATCCAAAGATGTCCTCTCCAAAACTACTTACCATGCATAAGGCTTTTCTCATTTGGTCTCCACCTCCCTCTGCAGCTTCATTTCCTACCCCTGACTTCCTTGTTTATCACACTTCAGCCACACTGGCCTTGGTGCTGTTCTTTGAACATGCCATACTCGTTCCCACCAAATGACCTTTGTCCTTTTTGTTTTGTCACCTGGAATATTATGGCTTGCATCTTCACATGACTTATTCCCTCACATTATCAGTTCTGCTCAAATGTCACCTCCTCATAGCAGCTTTCTCTGACCCTCTTGACCCTTTCTATCCTTTTACTGTTTTCTTCCTAACACATATTACTAGTTGAATTTGCACTCCACATTTACCATCTTCCCAAACTAGAATGTAAGCTCCATGAAAGTCTCTTTATTTCCTCCTCTATGTCTAGTGCCTAGGACAATGCGTGGCACATAGCAGGCACTCAGTAAGTAGTGACTGAATTGATGAATGACTGCACTTTCAAGGGCAATCAGAACAATTTCCTTTTCCTTCAGAAAGAAAGGTTTATTTATATAAATGCTAATAACTTCTCTCTTTTTACCCCTGTGGTCAAAAAGGGCAGTAAGTTGGGGTGGGGTGGGGGAATCACTATTCTATTCTGTGATTGGATTTTAATTTAGAAGCTGTAATTTCTGTTTAATTTTATGGCATTTTAATTTTGGATATACCTGTACTTATTACGTGTGTGTGTACCTTCTAGGGAAGATCTTATCGTGACCAACAGCTGCTGCTTCTCAAGAAGCACTTAGAAAATAATTACAGGAGCAGAGATCGAAAATGGATTGTTTTGTTTCCAGAAGGGGGCTTCCTCAGGAAGAGGCGAGAAACAAGTCAGGCATTTGCCAAGAAAAATAACTTGCCATTTCTTACAAATGTTACTCTGCCAAGGTCTGGGGCAACAAAAATTATTTTGAATGCACTTGTAGCACAACAGAAAAATGGAAGTCCAGCAGGAGGAGATGCTAAAGAATTAGGTATGATGGTTTTTAGCATTTTTTACCTTGTTGGAGTTAAAGGATTTTCTGGAGTTACAGAAGATGATCATTGTTCTTTTTTATATTTATAATTTTTGTTAAAAATAATAGGGAGAAGATGAAACTGTAATTTTTTAAAAAAGTTTCCATTTACAAAAGTAGTCCATGCTTATAATAATTTACTCAAATAATACAGAAATGCGTAAAGTCAAAGATATCTTTCTCCTGTCCTACTTATACGGAGCCATTCCCACCGCTGCAGTAAACATTCTTATAAACATCTTTACATATTGGTGGAACTATTTCTGTAGTACAGATTCCTAGAAGTGGAATTGCTAGGCTAAAAGATATAACTATAGAAATAACATGTTTGAAAAACTAATCTTTTCATTTATCAAATAATACATATTTTCATTTATCAAATTGAGAAAGCTTTTTGGTTTTCTGGGGTTTTTCTTGTTGTTGTTGTTTTTGTTTTTTTTCTGGGTTTTCTTGGGAGACAGTCTTGCTCTGTTGTCCAGGCTGGAGTGCAGTGGTATGATCATAGCTCACCGTAGTCTTGAATTCCTGGGCTCAAGCGATCTTCCCACCTCAACCTCCTGAGTAGCTGGGGTTGTAGGCACATGCCACCATGCCTGGCTAATTCTTTAGTTGTTTTGTAGAGATGGGGTCTCACTGTGTTGACCAGACTAGTGTCAGACCCCTAACCTGAAGTGATACTCCTGCCTTGGCCTCCCAGAGTGCTGGGAGTATAGGTGTAAGCCACCATGTCCAGCCTTGTTTGTTTTTAATGCAGAGAACTAATTTAATGCAATTTGATAGTATTAAGAGCATTAAGTGTTAATAAATGACTCAGTTATTCCACTGCAAATATTTATCAAAAGGAAATAATCTGAAATGCAGGCAAAGAAGTTTATTACAGATTATTTATAATAGCCAATTATTTATAATAGCCAAAAAATTGGAATTAGCCAGAAATGAGAATGGATTAGTAATTATCAAATATCCATACAACGGAATACAACACAGCTGTTACAAATGATGTTTATGGAGTGTTTGTATTGGCTTGGAAAAACGTTTGTGCTCTTATGTTAATAGGGTGGACAAACATACAACTCTTATGAAAACGATTTGAATTCAAGTCTGTAAACAACAAGGCAGTAGGAAATGCGTGAAAGGAAAGACACCAAAATGTTAGCAGTGATTGCTTTTCTGAGTTGTAACATTATGTATTATTTTTCTCTATTTATTAATGCTTTTCTGAATTTTCCATTTTTAAAAATAATATGTATGTATTACCTTCTCACCAGGAAAAGGCAAATCATTCTCAGAGATGCAACTATCTTGCAGATAGTCTGGTAAATTACAAAGTTTTGCAGAAGATATTTGTGCCCATAGCATGGAGACTGTTTTGAACAAGCTATCTAAGATACTACTGTGAAAGTCTGATTATAAGTTAGAAAGCTGAAAGGCATTCACTAGGCCTGTTTCCTTTGCAGTATTTTGCTATTTCTATTCATATTCTTTAAATAAAATAAAATAAGAATTGAAATGATTGGCCCTCAGAAACAATGTGTTTTTAAGTGGCAATCAGGACCAGACGTAGAAATAATGTCTGTGATTTAACTCAGATTTAACTGAGTTTTCCTTTTATTTGTTTTTCCCAAGCAGCTGCTTGGCAGTCAGCTCTCTTAATCTTTCATCATCTATTAAAAAGACAAATTGAAAGAGTCTTTTAATAGAAAAGGAAAGTTCAGAATAGTTTCACTACTGGAGAGACACTGTGGCAATGGCAGCCGAGCCAAAGCTTGAAGGCAAATGTCTTCCAAACAGGATTAGTTGCACTAATAAAGACTGCTGTTCTAAAATAGTTCCACCCAGTCAATACCCTGTAGTGGTCTAGATCTCAAATGTAGGGGCAGTTGTTATACTGACTGCATAATAGTGAAGAAAAATGGTTGTTTTCTTTTACAGAGAACTAGTTTATAACTAAAGCAGAGTAGTTTATTTTTTAATCCTACCTGAAAGCTTTTCATTCTACCTGTTTAGAAGAAAAATTATAAGTGTACTTGAAAACTAGTTTTACCTATATTATTTTCTTTTCCATATTTTGGTATTTTGCATTTTATTTTCTTTTGCATTTATATTCACTAGCATTTTATGCCATGTATACGCAAACCATGCCTTTGTGTTTAATATGTGATGCATACATATATACCAAAATTAAGTTCTGTCTGATTAAAAGGATTAGTATTTTTGTTATCACATGATTTAACAGATATTAAACTGAATTTTGGTGTTTTTTCTCATCATTTAATTATAAAAATTTTCAAACATACATAAGAGTTGAAAGAATTTTGCAGTGGATATCTGTGAGCTGACTAACTAGATTATCTCTTCATCCTTCTATCTATCCATTAATCCATCTTGGTTGTTTCATTTTTTAATGTGTCTAAAAATAAACTTCATTAGTATACTTTACTCCTAAACATTTCAGCATGTATATCATTGGTAGCTTGGTAAAGTGTGTTTCTTTACATAAACTCCATTGATTTAGCAATATGTTATTTAAAAATTAATTTTTTACTTGTTTTACAAGTATATTTTTCTCCTTCACAATGTTATTCTAAAATCTTTACAGAATTTAAGGCCAGTTTTAAATTATTTGACATACAAAAGTAATATATCATTGATTCCTAATGCACATTTGAACTTATGCTTGAAAATTAGTTCTCTTTTTTTAGGGATTTCTTACATACTTCAAATAAAGAATGGACCATTATACTCTAAAGTCTGGCCATCAGTATCCTCTGTGATGTTTCCCCTCTCAGTTCTCGCTCACCTTTGTACCCCATGCTGGGATAAAAACAGTGTGCAAAGGATCAAACTTAGCAGAACTTACCATCCTCTCTCTACAACAGTAGTCACCAGTTGTACCTTCCAAAGGGCAGGAAGCTTTATTGCTTTCTGTGTATATAACTCTTGCTAAAACTGAGGGAGATATTTTGCTTTATTTATTTATTAATTATTTTTTATGTATTTTATCTTTTTGAGATGGAGTTTCACTCTTGTTGCCCAGGCTGGAGTGCAATGGTGCGATCTCGGCTCACTACAACCTCCACCTCCTGGGTTCAAGCGATTCTCCTGCCTCAGCCTCCCGAGTAGCTGGGATTACAAGCGTGCACTACCATGCCTGGCTAATTTTGTATTTTTAGTAGAGATGGGGTTTCTCCATGTTGGTTAGACTGGTCTCGAACTTCCTACCTCAGGTGATCTGCCCGCCTCAGCCTCCCAAAGTGCTGGGATTACAGGCGTGAGCCACTGCACCCAGCCAATTTTTTATGTTTATTTATTTATTTATTTATTTATTTATTTTGAGACGGAGTTTTGCTCTTGTGCCCAGGCTGGAGTGCAGTGATGGCGATCTTGGCTCACTGCAACCTCCACCTCCTGGGTTCAAGTGATTGCCCTGCCTCAGCCTCCCAAACAGCTGGGACTACAGGCATGCACCACCATACCCGGCTAATTTTTTGTATTTTTAGTAGAGATGGGGTTTCACCACGCTGGCCAGGCCAGTCTTGAATTCCTGACCTCAGGTGATCCGCCCACCTCTGCCTTCCAAAGTTCTGGGATTATAGGCGTGAGCTACTGCACCCAGCCTGCTTTGTCTTAAACAAGAGCAGCAACAAAATGTGTACATAAAGAATGCTTAATTTTGTTGCCATGTTCCAATATTTATTAATGCCCATCCTCAGTATCATAAGTCTTGGTGTTTATATTATATTATATTATATTTAGTGAATGATTTTGTTTTGTTTCGAAGTCTGTTTTTTGTTTCTGTGATGTGAGTTTAGCTTCTGACCTTTTCATAGGTTAGTTTTTTATAGGAGTGTTAAATATAAATTAGACCTTCATAGTGCATAATTGTATCAGATACTTGAATGGTGCATGTCCAGTAGATAATAGTGTTCTTTGTTTCGAGGTTCATCCATTTTATAACATAAGTAATCCTTAATTTCTTCTGAAGAGTGTTATAGAACAGGAGCACCAAAGTTCATCCTTAGAATTTTTCTTAATGCAAAAGGTATAGTGATATATCTTACACTGGTCAAGTAATCTATGTTATTTGCTGCAGATAATATAAAAGTTGATTTAATTTTAAGTCTTTTTTTCTTTGTTCTCAGACAGCAAATCAAAAGGCCTCCAGTGGATAATAGATACAACGATAGCTTATCCCAAAGCTGAACCTATAGATATTCAAACCTGGATCCTTGGATACAGGAAACCAACAGTCACACATGTACATTACAGGTAAGAATTCTATATTAGTACTCAGTATATATCCAACAATACTACCTCAGAATAGTATGAATGTCTTAATATTTAGTTTTTAATCACACAGTAGAAATAGTTGGCTCAAGTTCATTCTTATGCTGCATTTTTAATATTAAAATATCATTTGAAGTAGGTATTTCGCTCAGTTATAAAGATCTCTAAAAGTGATATTCTAGAGGCACTATGATTATTCGGTTGCCTGACACTTTTGAGTAAAAGTTAACTCAAAGGGCAAACATCAAGGATAAATATATACTCACTTGGGTTAAGAAGGTATGTATTAATAGAGATATTACAGAAAAGGGGTCCTGATCCAGACCCCAAGAGAAGGTTCTTGGATCTTGAGCAAGAAAGAATTCAGGGCGAGTCTGTAAAGTGAAAGCAAGTTTATTAGGAAAGTAAAGGAATAAAAGAATGGCCACTGCATAGACAGAACAGCCCTGGGGGCTGCTGGTTGCCCATTTTTATGGTTCTTTCTTGATGATATGCTAAATAATGGGTGGATTATTCATGCCTTCCTTTTTTTTTTTTTTTTTTTTTTTTTTTTTTTTTGAGACAGAGTCTCAGTCTGTGGCCCAGACTGGAGTGCAGTGGCGCGATCTCGGCTCACTGCAAGCTCCGCCTCCCGGCTTCACGCCATTCTCCTGCCTCAGCCTCCCGAGTAACTGGGACTACAGGCGCCCGCCACCATGCCCGGCTAATTTTTTGTATTTTTAGTAGAGACGGGGTTTCACTGTGTTCGCCAGGATGGTCTCGATCTCCTGACCTTGTGATCCGCCTGCGTCGGCCTCCCAAAGTGCTGGGATTACAGGCGTGAGCCACCGCGCCCAGCCTCGTGCCTTTCCTTTTTAGACTATATAGGGTAACTTCCTGATGTTGCCATGGTATTTGTAAACTGTGATGGCACTGGTGGGAGCATAGCAGTGAGGATGACCAAAGGTCACTCTTGTGGCCATCTTGCTTTTGGTGGTTTTTAGCTGGTTTCTTTACTGCAACCTATTTTATTAGCAAGGTCTTTATGACCTGTATTTTGTGCTGACCTCCTGTCTCATCCTGTGACTTAGAATGCCTTAACTATCTGGGAATGCAGCCGAGTAGGTCTCAGCCTCATTTTACCCAGCCCGTATTCAGGATTGAGTTGCTCTGGTTCACACACCTGTGATAGAAATTGAATTTGTTTTTAAATCATTAATCCACATAAGATTTTCTGAATGATTAAATTGGTAATTTTGCTATGACTTACACTTTTAAATTTTTAACATTTTAATATGTCATTTGCATAAACAACAGTAGCAAGAACATTTATTGACTATCTATGCTAGCTTCTTGTTTTTTTAATGTAGTTTTTTTAAGGAGTTTATATAAATATGACAGGTATCTGTATGAAGCATAGGCTTCATGATAAGGCCTGTTTGGTTTTGATCACTTTATAGGCCTTTTAGCCTTACTATGTTTCCATGTGAAAGACCTCAACCCGTGGCAACTACCAAGGACAAGTGAGGAGATATACTTTTCTTTTCTTCCCAGGGTTTAATCAAGATTAGTGTCTAACCAATATTAGAGGAGAGGTAGTACCTGTGTTCAGAAATGGAGAGCAAATGAAAACAGCAAGAAAGAACAGAGGTATCCTGGTGTCAGGATAGTACTGTGGTTTTGCAAGAAACTTGTGAGAGGGGATTTGGGCCATGTCTTTAGCAGCTCCCAGGAATAGTGTCTATCAACTGTAGAGTGACTTCTCGTATATTGTTTTTGGCCATCAGGACACCAAGGGGCGTAGGGAAAGAAAGAATGGTTTTAATTCAGAATTTTCGTTCATTTGGTTATATTTTAAAAATTTTAAACAAGGACAAGGTGTTTCAATAAAATTTTTTAAATGCAGCATTAGAAATCACATTATATATACAAATGTTAATAATATAAATAATTGGGATTAGATCCCTTTCTCTTGTAATGTGAGGAGGTTGGCAAGAAAAACTGGGTAGTATCAACTGCTTAAAGTGGGGAGTGGGTGCCCAAAGTGTAGGAAAAGGTTGTCTGGAAACTATAAAGTTCACTAAAAAATTGTAGTTTTGTTTCGTGTTGGCTTCCTTATCTTCACCTATGGGGAGATTTGAAAAACTATTCATGAAGGTTTTTTTTTTTTTTCTGCAGTTAAGCATAATTTCTCCAGAACTCTAGAACATTAAGCCATATGGTACCAGCCAATTTTGTTTCACATGATGTAGAAAGGATTTGTTTTCATCTTAGCAGACTTAAAAAGATAAATAAATAAAGCAGCCCTCATTCTTGAGAATTTAACTGAAGTGATCACTTAGTGATTTTGGTATATAGCTGGGCAAGTCAGTACTATTGCTAGTTTGTTTTTTTTTGAGACACAGGTTCACTTTGTCGCCCAGGCTAGAGTGCAGTGGGCACTGCAACCTCCACCTCCTGGGTTCAAGCAATTCTTCTGCCTCAGCCTCCCGAGTAGCTGGGATTACAGGCACATACCACCATGCCTGGCTAATTTTTGTATTATTAGTAGAGGCTGGGTTTCACCATGTTGGCCAGGCTGGTCTCGAACTCCTGACCTCAAGTGATCTGCCAGCCTCGGCCTTCCAAAGTGCTTTAGCCATGCGCCTGGCCTGTTGCTAGTTTTTTAGTGTAATCTTGGGAAATGTGACATATGACAGTCAGAAAGTAGTTAATCCATCCTGCTCAGCTTTTATTAGATCCCACTTAAGATATTTCATGTATTTTAATTTCTCCATTTTAAAAGAAATAATGTAGTTGGTAAAATGTTATCTATAGAGCTGACAAGCATGAGAAGCCTAGAGTTCTGTAATTAAAAGAAAAAAAAAAGAGCCAACATAGATAAGTCCTAGAACATTAGTACCACTTAAAAGGCAGTTATTATGGATCAAATCAAAACAAATTCATAGGTAGTAGTAATTAAATGAAACACTTTTTTTTTTTTTTTTTTGAGATGGCATTTTGCTCTTGTTGCCCAGGCTGGAGTGCAATGGTGTGATCTCGACTCACCGTAACCTCCGCCTCCCAGGTTCAAGCGATTCTCCTGCCTTAGCCTCCTGAGTAGCTGGGATTACAGTAGGCATGCACCACCATGCCCGGCTAATTTTGTATTTTTAGTAGAGATGGAGTTTCTCCATGTTGGTAAGGCTGGTCTCGAACTCCCGACCTCAGGTGATCCACCCACTTCGGCCTCCCAAAGTGCTGGGATTACAGGCATGAGCCACTGCGCCCGGCCATGAAACAATTCTAAGAGAAACTCCCAGTTGAAAGTACAGATTAAGAGAAAGGTTAACAATTCATAAGTATTAAATCTATAATAAGTTTCTATATATTTGAGATACTTTTATTATATTTTAGGTAGATTTCATAGAGGGCAATAACTGTCCTCTCCTATGTAGTACATCTTGGTGTCTGCTGAGAGCCACAAAATGTGGCTCTGGGTGGCTGGGATATTACATTGTTATGCAATAGCATTCCTTACCGTCAGAATTCACTTGGGAAACAATATAGTTAGCATAATTTATTTAACATTAATCAGTGGTTTGTCTATTTATTTATTTATTTTGAGACAGAGTCTTGCTGTGTCACTCAGGCTGGAATGCAGTGGCACAATCTCGGCTCACTGTAACCTCTGCCTTGCGGGTTCAAGCAATTCTCCTGCCTCAGCCTCACAAATAGCTGGGTTTGCAGGCACCTGCCACCACGCCTGGCTAGATTTTATTTTTCTATAATACATTTACTTTCACTTCTTATAAATTATAGTCCAAGCTACCAAATAAATTCCACTACCTGTTCTGTACCTCACTGGAACATAATGTGACAAGCAAGTATATGGAGATCTCTGAGCAAAAGTGGCGTTTTCCCACAGAGTAAAACTCCCTTCATACTGTGTTAATAAGTTCTTTTTTTTAAAAAAAAATTATTTAAGTAGAAAAAGAATATCTAGATTGCCAGAATGTGGAGCAGAATGTTTTTCTTGATTCGAAATTTCTGTACTGACACTTAGGAAAAAGCAAAAGAATGTAATAACTTATTTTAAATACTCTGAAACTGTTTATTTCTTCCAATAGCAGTTTTCTCCGTTAATTTACTACTCAGGCTTATGTTGGTTTTTAGGATTTCTAGAAGAGATGACATGTTATATATGAAACACCATAAAATACACATTATTTTTATATAAAATACTACTGAAGTACTTAAAATACCACATAGATGAGAAAGTAAACATTTGTGACAGAGTTGTATACTAGAGCCTGTCTTACAAATAGGTAGTATTGCTGTGTTTCAAAAATTGAACTTTTAGGGCATGCATTTAGAGCATATTCCTCAGAAAATTTGTGGCAAATGGTGATTAAGTGCCCAGGCAACTTTGCTAATGCTGGGACTCTGGTGGCCAGAAGTTGCCCTGACTTTGGCGGATGCATTGTTGTGAGATGCAAATGATGTACAGGTAAAAGAGTCTTTCAGGCTGTGCACAGTGGCTCATGCCTGTAATTCCAGCACTTTGGGAGGCTGAGATGGGCAGATCACTTGAGGCCGGAGTTCAAGATCAGCCCGGCCAACATGGTGAAACCCCGTCTCTACCAAAAATACAAAAATTAGCTAGGTGTGGTGTACTACTCAGGAGTCTGAGACGGGAGAATCTCTTGAACCTGGGAGATGGAGGTTGTGGTGAGCCGAGATTGTGCCACTGTACTCCAGCCTGAGCAACAGATCAAGACTCTGTCTCAAAAAAAAAAAAAAAAAAAAGACTTTTAAAAAACACAAAGCACTTTGTAAATATAAAGCACCATTATTAAGATATATAAAGAATGATAGATTATTGGTAAGTCTGGTGTTTATAAATAGCATTCTCCATATATTGTATCTCAGCCATTTATTACTTTAAGAGAAAAGATGCTTTTTAAAAAATTCATTTCTTACCAATATTATTTATTGTTTAACTAGGTAAATATTTTTATTAGCATGCATACAACTACATTATTGAACTTTTTCAAAAGTAATGCTTATTTTAAAAGAACTAAGACTTACCTAAGGGAAACATCTGAGAGTAAAGAACTTTTTCCTCCTCCTCTCCTCTTTTTATTTCTATCAAACTGGAAGACAGCTTATTCCTGCTAAGCAAGTAGTGGGCACAGTGCACTGCTGTTCAGTGGTTAATAGGAAAATTAAACATGATTAGATTTTAATTACAGGGAGAGTATTTATAGGGGTAAAGGCAAAAGTAATGTCTGTCCTTGATATAAATGTCCATTTCACTTCAATTAGGACAGTGAGTTAGAGAAAACGATCCTTGTGCAGAAGTAGCTTATCTTTTCATGTTTAAAATCTTGAGAAAAGATATAACCATAAGTGTAGTGGCATAGATAGATTACTAAAAGCAGAGGTGTTGTTTTCATGTGTAACTTGATTAGGACTTTGGTTACTTGGGAGAAGGCATTCAAGTATGAACTTTGGGAAATAACTTATTTTAATTTGGGGAGGGGGAATTAATTTGGAAAAGAAATATTAATATTTTTTAAAGATACATATGCTGTCTAGCAAGGGTAAACAAACATTAACATTTTGACATATTTGCTTTAGGGTATTTGTAATTGATAAAAGAAATGATATATCATTTCAAGCCGATCAGATTTGGAAAAATCAAAGATGGTGACTTTGACACCGATATGGGAAAAGGTGATCTCATATATACTGCTAATGAGATTATAATCTACTGTGACCACTTTGAGAACTAATTGACTATACTTATTAAGGTGAAAATGCACATACTCTGTGATCTAGCAATTTCCATGGCTGGGCACATACATAGCCTACATTAGTTTGCAGAGTATTATTAAAATTACATCTGCACAGTGAGAATTATTGTCAAAGAGATGAGGGAAAAGTTATTTATGAGAAAAATTACCAAAACTTAAAAACAGAGAATAATATTTCATAATCTTATGCCTAAACCTGTATGTATTTTTGATTAATATATCATTTTGGTCTTTCCTTCTGCTTTTACCCTTACTCCCTAAGACAACAAAACAGTCATGAGTTTTTATACATTTTAGGGGCTGTGATTTCAGAAATAGTTATTCCTTCAAAATCTTTTTATTACAGAAAATTTCAGACTTGTAAATGAAATCTCATGTGCACATCACACCCCCTCGACAATTGCCAAATTATGGTCAATGTTATTTCCTCTACGTTATTTTCAGACCCCAGTGGATTATTTTGAAGCAAGCCTCAGGCATCATATAATGTTATTTGTAAATATTTCATTGTGTATTCTCTAAAATGTAAAAACATGAAAGACCTGAATATATGGAAAGATAATACTTGTGTTCACAGAGAGGAAGACTCAATATTATAAAGATGACAGTTCTTCCAGATTAACCTATAAATTTAACGTAATTCCAAACAGAATTCGGGATGGTTTTTCAAGACACTGGACAAAAATTTGGTTCTAAAATTCATTTGAGAGAGTCAAGATAAATGAATAGCTAAGATAGTTTTGAAGATGAACAAAACAAAGGAGTTCTTCCTACTAGATGTCAAGTTTAGTTACACTAATGTAATTAAAACAGTGTAGTTATAGGAGGAAGTCCACATCAATGGAGAGATTAGAAAGTTCAGGTCTAGATTTATTTGTGAACTCACGTTATGATTGAGTAGCCCTTTCGTATCAATGGAGAAACGACAAACTATCCAATAAATGGCTTTGGGACTGTTGATTCACAATATGGGAGGAAAAGTTAGAATTTTACTCCATACCATATACCAAAATAAATTCCCGGTGGATTTTATCTCAACAACAATAATGGGACCCTAAAGTATTTGGGTGGGTGCAATGGCCCGTGCCTGTATTCCTAGCTACTCAGAAGGATCGCTTGAGCCCAGGGGTTTGAGGCTAGCCTGGGCAACATAGTGAAACAGGGTTTCTCTAAAAAATAAAAATAAAGTATTTGAAGAAAATATAGGAGACTCTTAATGTCTTCAAGTAGGGTACCCCTTCCTTACAAGACCCAGAAATCAGAAGTCATAAGTCATTAAGGAAAAGATAAATATGAGTACATCAAAACTAAAAACTAGGCTGGGCAGCACGGTCGCTCACGCCTGTAATCCCAGCACTTTGGGAGGCCTGAGGCAGGCAGATCCCTTGAGGTCAGGAGTTTGAGACCAGCCTGGCCAATGTGGTAACCCCATCTGTACTAAAACTACAAAAAATTAGCTGGTATGGTGGTGAGCGCCTGTAATCCCAGCTACTCGGGAGGCTGAGTCATGAGAATTGCTTGAACCCAGGAGGCGGAGGATGCAGTGAGCTGAAATAGCGCCACTGCACTCCAGCCTGGGTGACAGAGTGAGACTCTGTCTCAAAAAAATAATAATAATAAAAATAAGTGAATAAAAATAAAATGTCCAATTAAAAAAAAAATCTAAAAACTAGAGTGTTCAAGAGACACAATAAAGTGTTTGAAGTGCACATAACAAAAATAAGTATTGAGTATACAGTCATGTGTCACTTAATGACAGGGATACCTTCTGAGAAATGTGAAATTAGGTGATTTCATCATTGTACGAACATCATAGGGTGTACTTAGACAAACCTAGATGGTATAACCTACTACACACCTAGGCTATATGGCATAGCCTTTTGCTTCTAGGCTGCAGACCTGTACATCATATCACTGTAGTGAAGACTGTAGGCAATTGGACCACAATGGTAAGTATTTGTGTATCTAAACATAGAAAAGGTACAGTAAAAATACCGTATAAAAGTTGTTTTTTTTTTTTTTTTGAGATAGTGTCTCTCTCTCTGTTGCTCAGGCTGGAGTGCAGTGGCGCAATCTTAGCTTACTGCAACCTCCACCTCCTGGGCTCAAGTGATTCTCCCACCTCAGCCTCTCGGGTAGCTGGGATTATAGGCATGTGCCACCATGCTCAGGTAATTTTTGTATTTTTAGTAGAGATGGGGCTTTACCATGTTGTCCAAGCTGATCTTGAACTCCTGGGGTCAAGTGATCCACCCACCTTGGCCTCCCAAAGTGCTAGGGTTACAGGTGTGAGCCACGGTGCCTGGGCAGTATAAAAGAGTCTTAAAATGATACGCCTACTATATATGGAGCTAGTAGGACTGGGAGTTGCTCTGAGTGAGTCAGTGAGTGATGAGTGAATGTGAAGGCCTAGGATATTACCCTATACTACTGTAGACTTTATAAACACTGTACACATAGGCTACACTAAATTTATTTTAAAAATAAAGTAATTGTGCTATGGCATTACAATGACTATGACATCACTAGGCAACAGGAATTTTTCAGCTCCATTATAATCTACGGGAACCATTGTCATATATGCAGTCCGTCGTTGACTGAAATGTCATGTGGCACATGACTATGTATGTAAACAGCTCAATGGTTTTTACAAATCAATAATAGTATTTAAAACCCAGAAGAAAAATGTACAAAAGACACAAAGACTTTTCATTGTTTATAGAAATAAAAATATATGAAAAGATCAGGGAAATGCAAAACAGGGCAAAATACTATTTTTTACTCATCAATATCAAATATTGGTGAGCTTTTAGGGAAATTAACACACACAAATCGATGCAGCCAATCTGAAGAGCAGTTTAGCAATATTTTAAATTATCTATGACATAGCAGTTCTACTTGGGGCTATATATCCTAGAGAAAGACAGGATATTACTGCAAGATATTTTGTAAGAGTAACAAATTAGAAATAATCTAAATGTCCATTAGTAGAGGGATGACTAAATAAAATATTGTGTATTATTTTTTGTTATGAGAGCATTAAAAATATCATGTATTCTTCAAAGGAATATACTTAACAGATTTTTATTTCTGAGTGTTTGACTCCTTCACTAGTATGTCTAATAGTCCTCTTGTCAGAGGCATTTGAACCAGAGCAACTCCATCTTGAGTAGGGGCTGGGTAGAATAAGGCTGAGACCTACTGGGCTGCATTCCCAGGTGGTTAAGGCATTCTAAGTCATAGGATAAGAGGTTATGGCACAAGATACAGGTCATAGAGACCTTCCTGATAAAACAGGCTGCAGTAAAGAAGCTGGCTAAAACCCACCAAAATCAAGATGGGAACAGGAGTGACCTCTGGTTTTCCTCACTGCTACACTCCTGCCAGCACCATGACAGTTTACAAATGCCATGGAAATGTCAGGAAGTTACCTTATATGGTCTAAAAGGGGAGGCATGAATAATCCACCCCTTGTTTACCGTATAATTAAGAAATAACCATAAAAATGGGCAGCCAGCAGCCATCAAGGCTGCTCTGTCTATGGAGTAGCCATTCTTTTATTCCTCTACTTTCTTTATAGATTTGCTTTCACTTTAGTCTATGGACTCACCCTGAATTCTTGCCCGAGATCCAAAAATCCTCTCTTGCGGGCTGGATCAGGACCCCTTTCCCATAACACTCTCTCAAACTGAACTGTGGATTTTCCTAAAAATATATACTCCTTCATAGCCTTTACCATCTCATTATTGATAGCAGCCTCCATCCTTCCTGTCACTTAGATCAGAAGCCTTGGGGTCGTCCATGGCTCCTCTTTTTCTCTCATATTCCACATCCACTCAGTCAGGAAATCTTTTTGCTTCTAAATTTAAATACATATCCCCTGACCACTTCTTTTCATCCTGGTCCTAGCCACTATCACCTCTACCCTGCTCCTAGATTACTACATAAGCTCCTAGTGTGTCATCCTATTTTTACCTTTGTCCGCTGGAGAATTCCAACATAGTATCCAGAGTGCTCCTTTTAAAAGTCAAATTGTGTCTGTGCTAGGCTCAGAATTCCATCATGGCTTCCCATCTAAAAACCCCTGAAGTCTTAGAGTGGTATCTAAGGCCTTATTTGACCTCTTCCTTCTACTCCTTAGTCATTCCCCTGTGTCTATACTGGCTTTCTTGCTGTTACTGAACATCCCAAACGTATTCCTACTTCATGTTCCTACTGACTGTTTCCTCCTCCACGAGAAGTCTTCCCTTGGAAATCTGTATGAAAATCACCATCACTGCCTTCAGGCCTGCTCAAATGTCCTCTTACCACCCTACTTCAAATTGCAGTTGTTCCCCTCAGTCTAATATGCTTAAGAGGATTTGGGATGATTTTCTAATGATATTTCTTGTATTTGAGCATTATAAAAATGGTATTCAAAGCTCATTTCATAGAGATAATGTCACACCATAGATACCAGAATTAAGCTCTGAAAACCACACGATAGAGATATGTGTTTTGACACATATTAACGTCTCTGAAATTGGGAGACATCTTAAAATCAATGTAATAATGCACTGGCTATAATTTAATTGGACATTTGGCAGGCAGCACTTCAAACAAAAGTCTAAACGATAAATGTTGTTCCTTTCCCTGCCCCACAAAAAAAGAGCAGGCAGCATAGTGGCTGCCATGTGGTTAGAGCTCAACTGTTGACAGTGGGTGCCTCTGGGGAGGGACTCGTACTTTTCATTGTACTATTTGAGTGTTTTTTACAATATGCATGTATTCTTCAATTAAAAATAACTAATTCAAAAAAGAAATTGCCCACAGAATTTAGGATTTTGGTTTAATAACTATTTGAATAATTGCAACAAAAGCATTTTCATCTGGTAGGTATAAAAATTTAATAAGCTCACATTTCAAATGCATACCATTTAATAAGATACTAAATAGGTTTTTCCCTTTTAAATCAAGGATATTGAAATACTCAAATTACATAGTCTAGATTTTCATATTCTAGTGTTTTATCCATAATTTAAAACTGAGCTTTAAGAGATTTTAATTTACATAATTCTTTTTTGACATAAAAGTTAGAACAAAGTAAAATAAAATTAATATAGTAAAAATCAGTTATTCAACATATTGGGGACCAACTTTTAGGTCAACTTTTTGTAATAACTGAGAGTAACTCTAAGGTATACACCCTCGGGTACAGTAATGATATATGTTCAGGTCTTTGCCACCCTCAGCCCCAGCCCCAAAATTACTCACCTAATGATAATATTGCCTTTAAGGATTTTTGAGCTAATAGTTTCATTTTTTCCCCAGTAGAAGGAAACAGTGTCCTATCTTTAGTTTTTCTTATGCTAGGACTTTTCTCTATCATTGCTTATAATTATTGATAATTTCATCTCTACTTCAGCTATCTAATAATTTTCTTCTTCTTTTCTGCTTTTCTTATCATCACTTGTTTTTTATTGCTTTGCCTCCATATCCTGCTCTTCCCTAGAGAAGTCTGTATGTTTTTCGCCATCAGTCACTGTTCAGAGCTACCAGTTGGAAAATGGAAAATTACATATTAACTTTAAACAAGTTTTTAGTTCTGCTTCACTGTTGTTATTAAATGTTCACTGCCTAAAAGTTTTTATTTTCCACACCAGCAGGTTTTCCCCCTTTGCTTCAAAAAAAACTAATAAAACTTTTCAGGCTGGGTATGATGGCTCATGCCTGTAATCCCAGCACTTTGGGAGGCCGAGGTGAATGGATCACTTGAGGTCAGGAGTTCGAGATCAGCCTGGCCAACATAGTGAAATCTCATCTCTACTAAAAAAAAAATTAGCTGGGCATGGTGACATGTGCCTCTAATCTCAGCTACTTGGGAGGCTGAGGCAGGAGAATCACTTGAACCCAGGAGGCAGAGGTTGCAGTGAGCCAAGATCATGCCACTGCATTCCAACCTGGGTGACAGAGTGAGACCATGTCTCAAAAGAAAAAAAGAAAAAAACTTTTCAGTTTGATGTCATTCAGGATGGAGACATGAAATAAGTGGTCTTAATTGAGGTTTAGCTATATTGTGAATCAAATTCTGTGTTTCTGTAATGATGTTGAAGAATCAGGTGAATCATCCTTACAAATAAGGTAAAATTTCTATTCTCTAATTGGAAGATATGCCTAATTTCAGATATTTAGAAAAAGTATACATGAAAGAAATTTTTTATGTTACCATAATAAGTCAGGGTTCTCCAGAGAAACAGAATCAATAGGACATATAGATGGTCCCTGACTTAAGGTAGTTAACTTCATGATTTTTTGACTTTATGATGGTGTGAAAGTAATAGACGTTCAGTAGATACCACAATTTGAATCTTGAATTTTGATCTTTTCCCAGGCTAGTGATATGCGGTACACTACTCTCTGGAGATACTGGGCAGTGGCAGTGAGCTGCAGCTCCCAGTCAGCCACATGATCATGAGGGTAAACAACCAATACTCCACAGTGTACTGTGTTGCCAGTACTTTTTGGATATTGTGTTTTTTGTTTTCACATCCCATCATCTCTACAAAATGCCCATCTGTGTGCAGTATTAAACACTTTATTATAGAATAGGCTTTGTGTTAGATGATTGCCCAACTGTAGTTTAATGTAAATGTTCTCAGCACATTTAAGGTATGCTAGGTTAAGCTATGATGTTCAGTAGGTTAGGTGTATTAAATGCATTTTCGACTTACAATGGGTTTATCACAATGTAACCCCGTTGTAAGTCAAGGATCATCTGTATAAAGATATGTAGAAAGAGATTTATTATGAGAAATTGGCTCATGTGATTATGGCTGCTGAGAAGTCCCACAGTCTGCTGTCTGTAAGCTGGAGGCCTGGGAAAGCCAGTGGTGTCGTTCCGGTCCAAGCCTGAAGGACTGAGAACCAAGGGAGCCAACGTTGTCAGTTCTAGTCTAAGTCTGAAAGCCGAAGAACTGGGGAGCTGATGGTGTAAGTCCTGGTCCAAGTCAAAAGGCCTTGAGAATTGGGGTACTAACTGTGTAAGTCCCAGTCTCAGTCTGAAAGCCCAGGAACCAGGAGCACTGATGTTGAAGGGGAGGAGAAGATGTATGGCCCAGCTCAAGCAGAGAGAGTAAATTTGCCCTTCCTCTACCTTTTTGTTCTCCTTGGGCCCTCAATGGATTAAATGTTGCCTTCCCACATTGCGGGGGAAGGGAGTGTCCACTTTACTCAATTCATCAATTCAGATGCTATTTTCTTCCAGAAACACACACACAGACACACTTAGAAATAATGTTTTACCAGCTATCTGGGCATCCCTTAGCCCAGTCTAGACTTAGCCCAGATATGAAAAATTAACCTATACACATAGAACTAAAATAATAACAGACAAAGCTAATTTACTGGGTTATTATCAATAGATGAATGTGGATATAATATGATCTTGAAAATATTATAATTTGGTAAGTAACTGGAAATAAGCATTGGAAATAAAGAATTCTCTCCCCACCTCCTTGACTCTTTGGGGGTTTACCATGTCTTTTTCACTTTTAGGTCTTCTTAAGGTCTAGCAAAGTGCCATTGTTATTCCAAAAATACCTCTTATTTTCTAATATAGTTTTGTTGGAAATATTATGCCCCCAAATACAAAAATTCCTAGGGTTTTAATTTTAATTGGACAATGGTTAAACATAATTCTCACTGATAATTGCTGTTTATTTTTTACTTAGTCATTGAATCTGAGAAATGGAAGGACTACCTAGATCTTTTTGTCTAACCTTTTCATTTAACTTATTCTCAAAATTTGAGTGAAAAAAATGACAGAAAAAATAGATATGGATAGAGAGAATGACAAAGTAAAGCAAATGTGAGAAATATTAACATTTGGGGAATCTGGGTGAAGCATATGAGAATTTTTATACTATTTTTACAACTTTTCTTTGAGTCTGAAATTATTTCAAAATAAAAAGTTTAAAAACATCGTTAGACACATGGAAAGTGTAATAGTGATTCTCTTAAGCAGAGAAACCAATGTCAGATTTTGCTTACCGGAGAGTTCACTTCTGCTCAATCAGCAAGCATTTGTTAAGCATCTTACTGTGTGTCTCAAAGGATATAAAATTAATAAAGATATAATAAATTCCAGTTCTAAAAATGCCATCTCATTGTTTGTATCTCCAAATGGCATTTTGAGGGCTCTTGACTGTTGCAAGGAACAAGGCTCAAGAGGAGGGCTCAGTTATCCTTGACTGAGAAGGGGAAGCAGTGGCCTAGGTGCTAAGTATTTGCCATCTTCCTATCTACACAAACTTTAAAGTCACTCAAAAGTATCTGCTGGTATGTCCCTAGGTTTGCTACCTGTATAGTCTTTGGAAATACCTGCCTTGGTTTATTTCCTGTATTAAAGTAGGTAAAAGTTCATATTTGAGTTTCTGAAATTTATTTTCAGATAACTGAGTGATTTCTTTTTTAAACTGTTCTAATAGTTCCAGGGGGAAGCTATAAATATTACATTTTAGTATGTTGTTAGGCCTAACAGCTTAGCTCAGGATAATGGCTTAAAGTAAAACTTCTGGGAATTGAATGCTGGGAGATATTCTGATACGTTAAATTTGACAGTTTCTGTTTTTGTCCATAAATCTATTTTTTGTAACAAGTAGTTTCTGGATTTCTGAGTTATTGTTGCCACACTAACCCTGGTAGTGTCCATGAACATTGATGATTGTCTACAGATGACACCACATAAAGTTTTGTGCTCACAGATTACTGTAATTTAATTCTGTTCAGCAAACCTGAGTTCCTACTAAGGACTAGGCACTGATTTATACACTGGGTGCAAAGCTGAGAATAGCGCAGTCTGTTAGACAAAACAGGCACATGAGAAAATAAATAGAGCACAAACTAATAGGTATAATCATAGACACAGTTACAAAAGACAGTTGGCACTGAGAAGGATTTTTTTTTTTTTTTTGAGATGGAGTCTCTCTCTAGTCGCCTAGGCTGCAGTGCAGTGGCATGATCTCAGCTTGCTGCAACCTTTGCCTCCTGGGTTCAAGTGATTCTCCTGCCTCAGCCTCCCACATAGCTGGGATTACAGGCACATGCCATCACGCTCAGCTAATTTTTGTATTTTTAGTAGAGACAGAGTTTCACCATTTTGGCCAGGCTGGTCTCAAACTCCTGACCTCAGGTGATCCACCCGCCTTGGCCTCTCAAAGTGCTGGGATTACAGGCATGAGCCATGGCACCCAGCCCAAGAAGGAATTTTTAATTATCTAGGAGAGGAGAAGGAGGAAGCTGAAGGAGAAGAGGACAATGGTTTAAGATAGTCAAATTCTTACCTGCCGTAGTAGGAAACCAACAAATAAATTTTAAATAGGATAATCTGGAAATAGTGCTATTAAAACATTTATAATCTATATGGAAATAGCAAAAGAAACAGAGGGGTTGTATCTGAGAAACAGGTGTCTGAGGGAGGAAAGTATAGGGCCATCATTTTTTGTTGTCTACCCTGTGGTATGCTTTGACTTTTAGAAATTATATACGTATGTTACTTAACAAAGTAAAAAAAATCCTATATCTAAGTTAATTTTCTATTGCTGTAATAAAATATCTGAGACTATGTAATTTATAAAGAATGTAAGTTTCTTTCTCACAGTTGTGGAGGCTGATCTTGGGATCAGGTGGCTGCATCTAGTTGGCTTCTGGTGAGAGCCTTGTGCTGCTTCATAACATGGCAGAAGGCATCACAGGGTGAGAGAGAAGCGCTGAGAGCCAAAGTGGCTTTTAGAACAGACTCACTCTTGTGATAACTAACCTACTCCATTGATAACTCATTAATCCATTAATCCTTGAATGGATTAATCTATTCATGAAAGCAGAACACTCATGACCAAATCACCTTTTAAAGGCCTCACCTCTTAATACTGACATTGGAGATTAAGTTTGAACTTGAGTTTCAGAGACAAACACATTCAAACCATAGCATTCTTCTTACTTTTTTAGGCCAAATTCAAGTGATATCTCTTTTATATGTCCCATGCCATAAGTAGATACACACATTCCCTCATTTAAACTCACGCAGTAGTTCTCTAAAATCCTCACACAATATTTATCATATTCTGGTTGTTACTTTTCTTTTCCCTCAGCTAGATGATTAGCTATTTGAAAGCAGGAATTGTTTATTTCAGAATCTTCTTCGGTGCTTAGTTCCTTACACAATCTTGACATAATTGAATTGAGGGTTTAGCCATGTTGTTTGTCAGCTCACATTTTGGAGTCTTGACGTAAAAATTCAAATGCTCCAACTCCAGTATAGGGGGTGCCAGCTGCTAAGTATTATTTTACATTTTTTTTGAAAGTGTAATTTCATCTAGTGCTTTTAAATCTGACTATGGATTTTGGTAGTATATTCTCTATTTAAGAGCACATTCTGAATTACTGATAATAAGAATGTTCATTTCTTGAAAATTAGGAGCTAGTTTTTCATTTGGGTAGCTATTGGTATTGTAAAGGTTTATTTCTGGTGTATATGTATTTACTTATTTAAATCCCACAAGCACTCCTCTGATTTGATTTCAAGAGGACTGGTATTCAATGTATTTAATCCTTTGCCATATTAGGGGATTAGTCATTTTAATATTTTAATCCTATGGTGACCAATCAGAGTAATAGAAGTAGATTGCTCTTGAGGGAGCATTTGTTCTGCCCTCCTGGCTGTCTCCTAAGAGAAGAGAATATCCCAGCTATTCTGGGCAGATGGTAGAAGAGGTTGTCTTTCAACACATAGCCCCGTCCCCGTGTTCAACCCCATTGAAGCAATAGATACTTCACCAGCATTCTTTTGTGAATTCAACTGGTAAACCCAAACTTCCTCGGTTTAATTCAGCCTTATTTTTAATGTTCTTCTGTTTAATTCAGCTTTAATTCAGCTTTATTTTTAATGTCAATTTTCTCCTTATAAAGATATTTTAGATACTATTTTGAGATCTCTTTTAGCCCTGTGGCCCTTGCTAAGTTATCCTTAAGTTGATTAGACCTAATTTTATATTAACAGAAGCTAAATTAATCTTATAAAGTAATTACATACTGCAAGTATTATCTGATGTGAGTCAACAAGTTTTTATCTGTCTTACAAAGAGTACCTATTCTGTGCTAACCACTGGGACTATGGCCTTCTTAGACCAGAGGAAACTTTATGGAAGCTTTATTTATTTTAGGATTTAGAAGATGGTGGATAGAATTTAGGTAGCTAGAGATGGGACTGGTAGATGGGTGGGCATTTTGTGCAGTAGTAACTATGAACAAACACACAGAACTATGGAAGTATAGCACACGTGTTAGAAACAATAAGTTGTCTGTAATATGCATACATAAATTGAAGTTCTGGGAAATATGGTTGGAAAGTTGAGTTCAGATTTTGGTATACCTTAAAAGCCAAGCTAACTATTTGTATCTCTAAGTAACTCAAAGTCCAATTCAAACAGACTTTCACAATAAGGGAATTTATTAGCTCACATAATTGGACATTGAAAATAGAACAGGATGATGTACTTAATCTGGTGATTCAAGCTCTGTTTCTCCCAGTTCTGCTTTCCTCTGTGTTGGTTTCATCCTCAGCCAGTAGCTCTGAGGAAATGTAAGACCTCACACTTCCATGAAGATAAAGACAAGAGAAAAAATAGATTTTTTTTTCTTGTAATCCCTCTTTAACTTTTCCCTAAAGCCCCACAGAACTTTCATTATCATCTCCATGGCCCTAATTGGTTATGAGCCCATTGCTACACCCCAATACTTGTCATGAAGAGAATGATATATGATGACAGGTCTGACATGGGTTTTTAATGAGAAGGGTGCCAAGACTACCAGAATTGGCTGAGTGATAATAGATTGGCAGACATTTGCTTGGGATAAATTTATTTTGTTTTTTAAAGAAAAGCTAGATAATCCTTTCCCTTGGTGAGAGGATTCCTGCAAGTGGTGGCATGCATAAGCCTTTTATACTAAGCAGTGAGTGTCAACAAAGCAGAAATAGAATAGTTTTAGGAGTCAAAAAGTAATTCAAGTATTTGGCTGCTACTCAGGATGGTAAAGGTGAATAGTTAAAAAAGCGCTACATAGGCTGCAAAAATGTGTTAAGACCATATTAAATTATCTAAAAGTAAAAACTCAGTAATTTGTAATACCTTTCACTTAAGAAAAATCTGATTTTTAAATTTTAAGACATGCCTCTAATATCAAGGTGAAGTTAATTGACCTTCCTAAATATCCAAACATTTAAGGACATTTAAATTGGAGGAAAGAGAAAGAAACAATTAGATTTCCTGAATAGTTAATAGTTCCTATGTTGCTCCGAGCACCCTTCTGTCTAGAACCGTAATGTATTAGCTAAGAATTGCGGAGCTTTATTCTGCTCGGAGTCTGCCCCATACATACATAGTTCAGAGGTCATCAATTTTAAGAGGTGAGAAAATAGAGTTTGCTTTTAAGTATGCACCCATTTACTTTTCTGGACCTTTACTTTTTAGTACTGCTTTGTACCAAAATTATTATAAATATAGGCACCAAATTCCAATGGTAGTACTTAATTATAGATACTTATCTTATGATTCAGAATGTTTTTATTAATGAAGATTAATGTTGAAATGAAAACACAATATATCTGTATTCTTTTTTGAGGGGGGTTGGGGGGACGGAGTTTTGCTATTGTTGCCCAGGCCGGAGTGCAGTGATGCAATCTCGGCTCACCGCAACCTCTGCCTCCCAGGTTCAAGTGATCCTCCTGCCTCAGCCTCCCGAGTTGCTGGGACTACAGGCATGTGCCACCACGCCTGGCTAATTTTTTGTATTTTTAGTAGAGACGGGGTTTCTCTGTGTTAGCCAGGATGGTCTCCCTACCTCAGGTGATCTGCCTACCTCGGCATCCCAAAGTGCTGGGATTACAGGCGTGAGCCACCACGCCCGGCCCGATATCTCTATTCTTAAAGAGACTTCATGGATGGATTTCCACGAATATGTCCCCAGTCAGGCATAGCCCAGTTAGTTAAGAAACACTACTAGCCATCCTCTATACCTAAGTGAGAACCTTCTGACTTGGTAATTCTCCAATTTAAAAATCTTTCAGTAAGAATCAGTCTCACAAGTTGCTAATGAAAATATAAATTGGTACAATCTTTATAAAGATAATATAGCAATATCTTTCAAAATTACTACTACATTTAGCTTTTGACACAGCAATTTCACTTCTGGAAATTTATCCTATAAACTTACATATGAATGAACATTTGTATAATGCTATTTGTTGCCACATTGTTTCTAATAACAAAAGATGAGAAACTGTTTATCAGTAGAGCATAAGAGGAATTTAATGTTTACTGTGTATTAAGAGATTACAATGAAAATTCAAAAATATTGTTTGCAGAATGATAATGAAAATATTATCTATCAAAAGTTGTGAGATGTAGCTTAATCTATGCATAGGAAGGATTTATAGCCTTAGAATGCTAATATTATAGAAAGTAAGAAAGCTAAAAATCAGTAATCTAAATATTTATCTCAATAAGAAAAAGAAAAGCAAATTAAATCCAATTACAGTAGAAAGCGGGAAAAATGAAGGAGAATTTGTTGAAATAGGAAACATATGGTAGAAATAGCAATACCAGAAAATTTCATTTCTTTGAAAACACTGTTAACTACATTACCAATATCAAGAATGAAAAGGGGGATATCACTACAAATCTTATAGTTACTAAAAAGAGGAGCTGGGTATGGTATATGTGCACCTGTATTCCCAGCTGCTCAGGAGACTGTGGCAGGAGAATCCTTTGAAACCAGCCTGGGCAACAACAGCAAGACCCCGTCTCTAAAAAAACCAAAACAAAATAGTAAAAGGACATTAAACACAACTCTTCCAGAGCATAGAAGAAGAAAGGATACTTCCTAAGCTTGTTTTATCGGGATAGCATAACATTGACACCAAAACCTGAACTAAAGATGTTATAAGAAAGGAAAATTTACAGGCAGACCTCTTACATGGTTATAGATGCAAGATAAAACCCAGCAATATATATTAAAATATGTAATGTTATATAGTGACAGCATACATCCTAGGATTGAAAGGTTGGTTTAAAATTCAAATCAATCAAAGTAGTTCATATTAACAAAATATAGGGGAAAATTACATACCCATTTCAATCGATAAAAAAATTCTTAATAAAATGCAACTCATTGATGATAAAAAAGAAAACACTCTTAGCAAATTGGAAATAGAAGGGAATTTCTTCTATTAAGGCTAATCTGATTAATGGTATCTATAAAAAATTTTACAGCAAATAATATACTTAATTGGTTGAATATTTATCCCTGAAAGATTAAGAATGAAAGAGAAGGATGCTTATTATCACTGTACTAGAACATTATACTAGAGGTTCTTTTTTTTTTCTGAGACGGAGTCTCACTCTGTCACCTAGGCTGGAGTGCATTGGTGTGATCCTGGCTCACTGCAAGCTCCGCCTCCTGGGTTCATGCCATTCTCCTGCCTCAGCCTCCCGAGTAGCTGGGACTACAGGCATCCACCACCATGCCCGGTTTATTTTTTGTATTTTTAGTAGAGATGGGGTTTCACCGTGTTAGCCAGGATGGTCTCCATCTCCTGACCCCTGTGGTCTGCCCACCTCAGCCTCTCAAAATGCTGGGATTACAGGTGTGAGCCACAATGCCCGGCCCTGTACTAGAGGTTCTTACCAGAGCAATATGACAAGAAAAATAAAAGTGTTAACATAGGAAAGGTAAAAACAAAATTGTCACTATTTGCATTAATTTGTCTTTTACCTGCAAATTAAAATTGTAAGGTTCCTTGGTAGGTACAGACATTCAATCATTCACTGACTCAAATTGAGCCTAACCCTTATATGTAAATGGCTATTTCATATAACCAGATACCTGGAAACTTCTTAGAAAAGAAGTTAGGAAAAGGCACTTTATGAAACTATTTTTAAATCATCTTTTCAAATCCACTTCAAATGGACATGATGGCAGGAGTTTGGCCTTTTGCAGCCAAGGAGCCAAGATACAGCAGGGTGAGGAGATGTAAGCCTAGCATTATATGGTGAGCACAGAACATTTTTCCATGGAAACATGTTTGCCTGGTGGCTGAATTCTGTAGAATTTCATATATACTGCAAGCGAAGTAGCCTATCAAAGCAAACTTAGGATCTTCTATATCCTATAACTTTCCCACCATAGGAATTTTTGGTTAAAATGTAGGGGGCACAAAGAGGAGGCAATAAAATTATTGAGACATCTTTTCTAACATGAGCATTTCTTACAATTCAAAAGATGGAAGTTACCCTTTGAAGAGATGGAAAGTTAAACTTGTTTAATTAGGCAGAGACTCTTCATTTGAAATTTTATCTCCTTGTCTCTGTTCCTCTGATTACATCAATATTGATATTAACAGCGTCTTCAGAATCTCTGTCAAGACTTCATCTTTTAAATTCTTGGTATTGACTTTATTATCTGACTATATGAAAATAGTCATGGAATGCTAAACCCATGACACCTGCAGATCCAGTGCAGTCACTACAACTATTGCTGAACCCAAAAAACCTGGAAGCACAATAATGCTGACCTTAAATGATCTGGCACTTAATCAGCACAACCAATACTAGCATTTGTATGAGTGTTTATCATATGCCAAATATATGTATATATGTAAGCACTTTACATATTTAGCAACTTTGTAAGGTAAGTAATATGATTAGCCCCATCTTAAACACAAGGGAAGTAAGTCATACAGCAGTTAAACAATTTTCCCAAGGTCACGCAACTGGCAAGTGGTAGAGTCAGGATTCAACCCCAGGCAGTCTGCCCAATAGCTTTTTTTTTTTTTGAGACAGAATTTTACTCTTGTTGCCCAGGCTGGAGTACAGTGGTACGATCTCGGCTCACTGCAACCTCCGCCTTCCAGTTTCAAGCTATTCTGCCTCAGCCTCCCGAGTAGCTAGGATTACAGGCACCTGCCACCACATCTGGCTAATTTTTGTATTTTTAGTAGAGACGAGGTTTCACCATGTTGGCCAGGCTGGTCTCGAGCTCCTGACCTCGTGATCTGCCCACCTCAGCCTCCCAAAGTCCTGGGATTACAGGTGTGAGCCACCGCACCTGGCGTGATAGTTTGTATGCTTAATCACTAGGCCACACTGTCTTCTGGGATTATTTTAATTGTGCCCAAAAAGCAAAGACTCTCCATGTGTGGAAAAAAAAAAAAAGAGAGAAAAAAAAAAAAACAAAGCAAACACTGTTGTAGAAGGGAATCTCAGCCAGGGAGTCCCACTCACTCACTCAGTGAGGCATATCAGAACCTGAGCTGGAGAATGCAGAGGAAAAATGTTTAGTTTGAAAGAGATCTTTAAATTACTTAGGAGTAAAGGTGTTAAAAGGGCTACGAATGCTAACCTATAGGATGATTTTATGTGGCATCAGCATTTCCAATATTTTTTCTTTTTTTAAAAGTTGACTGAGCACAGTGGCTCACTCAATTCCACCACTTTGGGAGACCGAAGAGGGTGTATCTCTTGAGCCCAGGAGTTCGAGACCAGCCTGGGCAATATGGGGAAACCCCGTCTCTACAAAACACAACAACAAAAAAATTAGCTGGGCATGATGATGCGCACCTGTGGTCCCAGCTACTCAGGCTGAGGTGGGAGGATCACTTGAGCCTGGGAAGTCAAGGCTGCTGTGAGCTGTGATCATGCCACTACGCTCCAGCCTGAGTGACAGAGTGAGACAAAAAAAAAGACATTCTTTAATTCATCTTTCTGTTGTTAGCTTATTCAGAACAATGGTAAATTCAAGTTGTAATAATAAGGGATGATAGGGGATTTTTTTTGTTTTGGTTTGGTTTTTTTTGAGACGGAGTCTCCCTCTGTTGCCCAGGCTGGAGTGCAGTGGTGCAATCTTAGCTCACTGCAACCTCCACCTCCTGGGTTCAAGCAATTCTCCTGCCTCAGCCTCCCGGGTAGCTGGGACTACAGGCACGTGCCACTATGCCGGGCTAGTTTTTGTATTTTTAGTAGAGACGGGATTTCACCATATTGGCCAGGCTTGTCTCAAACCCCTGACCTCATGATCCACCTGCCTCGGCCTCCCAAAGTGCTGAGATTATAGGCGTGAGGCAGATAATAGGGGATTTTACAGCAGCAAGCTGAAACTTGAAGTTTCTGGACCTTAGGATCTCCCACTCCATTAAAATATTTCATCAACCAAAACGCTTTTATATTACTGCTGTAGAGCAATGTAGTATTGTATTTTGGGAGATAGAAGGTTATTAAGAATGGGAGAGTTATTTTCTGTGTAAATAAGACTCTATTTTGGTTATCTTTCATCCTTTCAAATTTTTGAAAGTAAAATTTTAATCAAAAGCATGTGAGTTCTTTTTTTTTTTTTCTTTTTTGAGATGGAGTCTTGCACCTCAGTCTCCCAAAGTACTGGGATTACAGGTGTGAGACACCATGCCCAGCCCTGTGTGATTTTCAAATTGGTTTTTAATAGATTTTTCATGCCACACTCCTTCCTTCTTTCCTCTATTTTTTTTCTGTCTACTCGCACTTAAATTTGGGTTTTAAAATACTCCCCCAATCTGATATTTAAATGTTTAAATAACAAGAGAAAGAGGTATCATTATAATGTAATTCATAAGTAATATTCTTTTCTGATTTTTTTTTCAATATTTATTTGCTGGTCTAAACATCATGTTCTACTATCTATACTATAAAATTTTTTATTTATTTTTATTTTTATTTTTTTTGAGACGGAGTCTTGCTCTGTCACCCAGGCTGGAGTGCAGTGGTGCGATCCTGGCTCACTGCAACGTCCACCTCCTAGATTCAAGCAGTTCTCCTGCCTCAGCCTCCCAAGTAGCTGGGACTACAGGCGCATGCTGCCACACCTGGCTAATTTTTTTGTATTTTTAGTAGAGACGGGGTTTCACCGTGTTAGCCAGGATGGTCTCAATCTCCTGACCTCGTGATCCACCCACCTCTGCCTCCCAAAGTGCTGGGATTATAGGCGTGAGCCACCTCGCCTGGCTTTTTTTTTTTTTTTTGGAGACGGAGTCTTGCTCTGTCGCTTCGAGACTGAGTCTTACTCTGTCGCCTGGGCTGGAGTGCAGTGGCGCCATTGCGGCTTGCTGCAACCTCCACCTCCTGGGTTCAAGCAGTTCTCTGCCTCAGCCTACCTAGTAGCTGGGATTACAGGCGCCTGCCACCACGCCTGGCTAATTTTTTTTATTTTTAGTAGAGACGGGGTTTCACCATCTTGACCAGGCTGGTCTTGAACTCCAGACTTTGTGATCCATCCACCTCAGCCTCCCAAAGTGCTGGAATTACAGGTGTGAGCCACCGCACCTGGCCTAAGATGTTTTTATAATGGTATGCATCATTATAATTTTCAAATCCCTAGTAAGGAACTAACACTCATTTTGCCTAAACCCAAAATAGCAATGGAGGCCCCTTTAAGAATGATAAGTGGTAGGCCCTGGCCAAAGATAGCAAATCATCTTAGATCTTTCAGAAATAACAGGTGAACTTTTCAAAAGACATAGTAGATTGGACTTATGTTTACTTCCTGCTCTCCTAAAACCCCCATAAAATAACACTAAATGGGTTTTTAAAGGTGTAAACCCACAAGGATGAGGAAAACAGCCTGAAAGACAATGGCGGCAAAAGTTGGGAAGTTGGAAAAAAGAACGAGCAGTAAATAACATAACAGAACCCCAAGCCAGCTGTGGGAAAGCCAGGAGCCAACCTTATACCATAGAACTTCCAAAAGTCTGGCAGCATCAGCACCTGTGGAAATGAGGTTGAAAGCATTACTAAACTTGGGAAGACTGGTTGAAATCTAAGAAGAATGCAGATCCCGCAGCCCCTACCCTATATCCCACAGCTGGGTAATTACTTTTCCCTACCCTGGCAAACATTGGAGGCTTACTCTGGAGAGGGAAATAGGGGCTCTGTGGACTGAGGAACAACAGATACAACTGAGGCAGAGGTCTCATAATTAAAACAGCATGGTGAAGTGATGTCAGTGTGCTGAGTGCTAAGATTCCCAGCCCTCTTATCTCACTGGCTACCGGAAAGCTAGCAATCGGGCCTTCACTCTCTAAGCAGGAAATCAGAGGATGTTTCTTTGGGGAAGGGGATGAGTTTAAGAGAAGAGACCAATTTTAATGGCCCAGCCGAGATAATCCTCAGTGAGGGTAACAGGCAACAGACTCCACTTGTAAGCTGAGAGCTTTCAATCAGCCATTCAGTCCCACATCTGTAAATGTGATGGAACAACAAAGAATGTCAGATAACTAGTAATCTAATGGACCTGAACTCTTGAAAGATAAAGACTAAAGCAAACACAAGAAGGTGACATGGAGGACCAGACTATACAGGGCAAGGTCTGCTTCTAGAATTCCTAATAGTACATGGGGGTTCATTAACCTTTTTCTCTCCTCTTGTGAATGTTTAAAAATTTCCATTATAATTTAAAAAACTTATTATAAACATAAGATATTGTAGCAATAATACAATAATAGCATACTATAAAAAAGACTGAGAACAATAGGAGCTCTTTAAAAATTAAAAAGACCTGAGTGTGAGCAATTTATTCATTTATAAAAAGAAAAAAAGCAAAAAAATAAAATACAATAAAGGAAATAAAAACTCCATAAAACATTTAGAAGTTAAATAAGAAATCTTCCAGAAAGGAGGTCAGAAAGATAAGAGATGGAAGAAAATGGTTTTTAACCTTGAATCCTATATCTAGCCAAACTATCAACCAAGTTCGAGGACAGAAAAAAGACATTGGCAGACCTCCAAGATTTCAAATACTGTTTGTCAAGAAACTGCTAAAGGATGTCCTCATCAAAAGTAATCAGTGAAAGAGACATGAGGTATAGTTAACATTCTATTCGATTTAGGAGTGCAGGGACTCACCAGGACAATGGTGAAGGGACCTCCTAATGTGAGACTACAGGCAGCATCTGGGTGAAATTTCTTTAGGAAGGTGAAATTGAAAGAATGTCTGATGCAAGGGGATTGCTTAGGAGGAAGATTTAGACCACAGGTCTGCCTGCCCACTGCCTGTTTTTTAAATAAAATTTTATTTGAACACAGCTACTGTGTATTATTTATACATTGTCTCTGGCTGCTTTCATACTACAAAGATAGAATTGAGTAGTTGTGACAGGATAGTATAGCCTGTGTCAACTTTAAATAACAAGATTCAAGAAATATGTCAAATGTAAAGGTTATTAGGCACAAAGCTTGAGGACAGCCACCCAGGAAGCACAGATTCCAAAAATTGGAAGTCAGTATTCCAAAGTGTAGAAGTTTGGGGTTGTTTATATAGAAAAGGTTTAGGGAAGCTTAACAAAATTTCAACACCTTTCTACATAAGGTTTAATGCATAGTTACAGTGATCTGATTGGGCAAGGTGGTCTTTTTCTTTCCAGAAAGGTATATTTAGCATTCCCCACCGAAGGTGTAACTGTCGTGGGGTCTTTTGTACCATCTGGTCTGAGTTAGGTACAGGACAATAAAGGAGGTAGTTAATCTCTAACAAAGGTCAGAGATTAGAAGGGCAGGAGGTCTGGTCTCTGGTGTCTCCTAGTCATTTACAGAACAAGAACAATGAGGAGGAGAATTAATCTATAAGAAGCAGAAGTTGCAACTACATGCTTCGTGACTCAGATCAAGGTCACATCTCTCTCAAGATTTAAAGTGTTTTGGGGATTCCAATAGCTTTTAAATTTTATTTATTTTTATACCTGCAAAGCGTAGAATATTTTCTGTCTGGCCCTTTAAAAAAAAGCTTACAGACCTGATTTAGAGCATTGATTATAGACAATTGCCTGAGAGTTTGTGGTTGAATTTGTTACATGTACATGGAAAATTAAGCAAATGAAAAATGATACATAATTTCTCAATCCAGGGAAAATAAAAATTGGTAAAGAAAGGAAAAGTAGCCACGATTTACTCCGTGGCTTAGCAATGAATATATTTACATGATTGTATTAATATAAATGCCTAATATTGAGCTAACTGAAATTACTCTACAATTGTATTGGGAAGATGGGAAGAATGTGCATATGTTATGGGAATAGGAAGAGGAAAGAACTTCATCCTCATCTTCCATACTGGGAAGTCAGTAGAGAAGGCCTAAAACAGAAGAAACATGGTGATAAATACCAAGATAATCAGCTAAAAGAGGTGATAATCAATTCTGGGGAGGGCAGAAATGAAGGGAAGAGGGACAGGACTCCCATTTTTCATACAAATATATTTTTTGCTGACTTTTTAAACCATGTGCCTTTATACCTTTGATAAAGGGGACAAAAAATCCCCCACTAAATTAGAAAACAAAAAATAAAACTATTTTTCAAGGTCAGCAAATATGTAGTCCTCATGCTGCCTGTCCCCTCTCAGTCCATGGGTATCACTAATCACAATCGTGTTTCCTGGTGAGTCAGGACATGGTCTCAGATCTTGAGAATAGTGTTCTGGTAGCCACTCCCAACCGGTAAAAGTTACCCCTATTCATGAAAGCAGTATCTCTGATACTACTGATATTACCGATTTGGGCAGAGTCTCTGTGCTTCTCAGACTTTCCCACCAAAAGAATATTGCCTGACATTTAACTAAATGACTGAACATCCTGATTTAACTGCATTTTAAAACTTCATCTGTTCTAAATACCATTTCTACTTAAACCCACAAACATGGGAAGACATAATTATTCTCTGTAGTTATTCATAGATATAAGGTAATTTAATAGTATGTTTTCAGCATCTAACACTGGACCTAAACATAGTAGACTAGTAAATGTTTGAATTAATGCATAAATTAACTCTCTTGTGTAATCAACAATTTTTAATAACCAAGATACCTGAAAAGCTGAAGAAACCAACCCTTGTTAAAGCAAAAGATGACAACACAATTTTATTCAGCTTTTCATCATAAGTTGTGGTTCTGAATGATTTTGACTTCTGAACTAAATAGTTTTTGTTCTTTTCTTCTAACCCTTAATAGGATCTTTCCAATTAAAGATGTACCCCTGGAGACTGATGACCTTACCACTTGGCTCTATCAGCGGTTTGTTGAAAAAGAAGACCTCTTATCACATTTTTATGAAACAGGTACACAGTAACCTTTAAATAGTTGCTAAATTATAGCAACAGTAATGAAAGCCTCTTTTAAAGAAAGCTGTTTGCATATTAGATCTTGAAACTTGAAAATGCACTCTGTAAATTGCCTGTGAGAAGCAAATCCCCTCATGAATCAGCTTACCCTGGGGATTATCAGCAAGGACAAAGACTGCTTGAAATGCTGATGAGTGTTATCAAGATGACCTTAGGTAATATTGCTGTATGAAGTTATCTAGCATTCCTTTCCAGAAACGAATTTAAAGACATCTGTTTACTTTGTATTTCTTTTATTATTAAGATACATTTCATAAAGCATATTGCCTTTTAAAAATAATGTCAGTGTTATACAACTACTTTTTTGACAAAAAATTTGTAAATAGAGGAATCAGCATAAAGTGTGCTATTTCAGAAATTATTTCATGTCAATCTCACATAATCCTGGGTCCTGATCACTGTGGGAATCTCTAGGGATCCAGCAGAGACAAGGCAGCTAGAGTGCCTGCTCTCATGCAGATTATATTCCAGTGGGAGACATGGCAAACAAGTCTGCAGAAAGAAAGATAATTGGGATCATGACCAATTGGAAAAAGTTCCAGGAAGGAGATAAACAGAGATGGGAGGGGGAATATCTTTTCTGATATGGAAAGGATGCACATGAGCCAGCTATTCATTAAGTGGAGGAGGACAGCATTGCAGGCAGAGAAAAGGCAAAGGCTCAGAGGCAAGAAGGGGCTAGGTAGTACAGAAATTGTATTTCAAATAAAATCTCTCCTCTGGGGCACTGGAAAGTCACTGAAGGTGCTTTAACATGTACAAATGTAGTTAAGCTAATATTCAACTTTTATTCCAGGAGACCTACCATTACAGTAAAACAAACTAATATTTCTATCTTGTCTTTTAGGAGCTTTTCCACCTTCCAAGGGCCATAAGGAAGCTGTTTCCAGGGAGATGACCCTCAGCAACTTGTGGATATTTCTCATACAGTCTTTTGCATTTTTGTCAGGCTATATGTGGTACAACATCATTCAGTATTTTTACCATTGCCTGTTTTAGGAATTGACGTGGACTTGTCAAGGTCACCGTAGGAGTTCAGACTTTCTTTCATAAGTGTGCATTATTTTACATGTGCAAATCAGAATATATTTAAAAAAAAGCAAAAGAAATTCAATGGATGGATTAATATTTATCCCCCTTTGGGATATTTTAAAATCTACTAAAATGAGGATTAGTAATATAATGACCTGCTAATATATTTTAAGAACATGTTTTAAAAAGATACACTCTATCACATATTTAAGCAAACATCACATTTGGAGAAGAGGAAATCATAAAATCATCCTAGAAGACTATCTGAGAGAAATTCTGTTGCCACCAGTTATACTTGACAATTTAGTTGAAGCTCAGAAAGTTATATTCATCCCTCTTAGCTGTAGTCTATATTAGGGCAGTTCTCTAGAACGCCCACATTTCCACCAACTCAGTAAACTTGAGGGGAGCTGGTTGGCACCTCGTGAAGAACTCTTTCCCTGTCGTTTGCAGTAACAAACTCCAGTCTGTTGCAGTAACAAACTCCAGTCTGTTGCAGTAACAAACTCTAGAATATTGACATTCTCTGTGGGGGAAAAGCAGTGTCCACTGGACCCCTTCTGGTACTGGATGTGTTCTTTACAAAGGCTAGCTCAGTCCAACACTGTGTTTACATACACTCGTGCTTTTCCTTATCTGACTTCTCATTTTGTATCAGAGGCATATCATAAATTGATAATTTTGCAAAATGCACTTTTTTGAGATGCAGATATAGCAAAGGATTAGTAATATAGCCTGAAAACAAATGGGAGCATAGCAGTGTGTGAGGTTCTCGAGAACTGTCTTGTCTCTGTGTGTTTATTTGCCTGCCAGTGCTCTCCAGCGCCATCCTGCCCTGGACACCACCCTGACGTGATGCCTCTATTGCAGCTCAGAGGCTTTATTTTTTCCATTTTGACATTGGCACTAAATGCATTTGGGGATGGTTAAAACAAATTACTATAGAACATTTAAATGATCAGTTTAAGGGGAAATAGGCTAGTTTATAGAAAAATAAGAGCTAGTGGCTTATAATGGTGACAGGTTCTCATGTGGCACCCCTAGGACCTGTGCAGACAGTAGTCTGTTGAATCATTACATCAAGGAGCTGCCCCTGTCAGGGTGAGTGTAATTAGGAACGATACCAGCACATAAGGCTCCCCCCAATCTCTTCCAGTTGCTTTTTCTTTTTTCTTTTTTTTTTAGACAGGTCTTACTCTGTCACCCAGGCTGTAGTGCAGTGGCATAATCTCAGCTCACTGCAGTCTCTGCCTCCCGGGTTCGAGCGATTCTCCTGCCTCAGCCTCCCGAGTAGCTGGGACTACAGGCACCCACCATCATGCTTGGCTAATTTTTGTATTTTTAGTAGAGATGGGGTTTCACCATGTTGGCCAGGCTGGCCTCGAACTCCTGACCTCAGGTGATCTGCCCACCTCGGCTTCCTAAAGTGCTGGGATTGCAGGCGTGAGCCACCACGCCCGGCCTCCAGTTGCTTTTGAAGAGGGTAAAGTCAAGTTTCTATTTCTAGAAAACATTTTTTAGAAATTTGTTGCGATGTTTGTACAATTTACCTCATAAGAGAACCACACCCTTCTCCAAAAGTGCTGGTACTGCATCAGTGAGATGAGTAGGGTTTTTGTTTGGGATTGTAAGACTATTAAGATCCTAGTAAGTCAGTGGTAGTTTACTGTGATGTGAGCATTGTAGATTCCCCCGTTGTCACTAATCACACAACAATTTTGAGAAGTAGGCTATAAAACAAAAAAAGGTTGCTGTTTTCTATTTTTAAATAAACCAAAAAAAAACAGAAAAGATGTGAATTTTCCCCAGTTATGTGGGAAAGGTAAAGCAACACCAAATAAAAGCCCACAGCAGCTTCATCTTTACGATAACTCAGTGCATATGTGAAAGAGAATGATGCATTAACTGAAATACCTCATTGAATATTATACTACTACTGGTAAAATGCAGAAGACAGTGTTAATGTGTTTGGTTTGGGGACTGGTTGTTATAAAATGCAATTTTTTTTTAAATCTAAGCATTTCATTATGTGTTCTACAGTGTCGGTGAATAAATGAAACCAATCTCAATTTAGAGGTATGGATGATGACAGAAAGCCCAATAGAAGCTTAATGATGCTTCTGTTTGAGGCCCAGCAAGCACCACTAAATTACTGGATGAAATGAAATTGTTCACTTGAGGGATTAGTCAACCATCTGGGGGAGAAGTTGCTCACTGTCAAATACAGCATGCACGGTCCTAGCTGATAGACCTTTTCCTCATTGCTACAGCAAGCCACAGGGTAGAGTGACCAGTTCTCCTATCCAAAAATAAATGCGAACATGCATACATAAATGTGGCTGAGGGCCACTTTTGCCATCACTGTGCTCCAAAGGAACATGATATTGTTAAATATACTGTACACATTAAACTATTCTATAAGATGCTTTACTTTTCAAGTACGGTGTCATTTTCACAGTCTCCAGGGTGACAAATGCCAATAGATATGTGAGTTAATTTTTTTAAATATCTCCGTGAGTTGTAAATAGATGTGTATTTGATCTGCCCTATCCTTCTTTGATTCTTTAACATGTTCTCTCTCTTCTGTTTGCAAAATATGTTTGAAAGCATTGGTAGTGCTTTCCTTATCAGTAACTGGAGTTCTCCTGCTTGCACTAGAGAAGGTAAAGAGAGAATCAGTATTCTTATATGGCAATCTGGGGAAGCAGCAATATGCCACTGTACAAAACTGAAGAAAAGTTCCTAATTTGTACTTTGTGAAGGGAGATGAAAGGACGTTTAAAGTATATATATTTTGTCAAGAGGAAAGAAGATAAAACTATGCCAGTTTTATATCAATAGCTTGTAGAAGCTCAGCTCTTCTTGGTCTTGGCTAGACTGCCTAGATTCCCACAGCAGACAAGGTTGAGAATCCATTGCTGGAATCTTGGTATTGATGAGTTACAGTGATGGAACATGTGCTTGGCCACAGGCAGGTCCAGTCACTGCAAAAGTGACCAAGCCAGCAGGTCACCCTTAACTTCAGAAACAATTATTGGTGGTGAACTGTACTTAAATTGCAGAGAAACCTGTAAGTAATGGAAGGTAAAGAAAAATTACAGAATGGAAAATAATATTTTGGGCAAGCAAACAAATTCACTGAGAATTCCAAAAGTATATTAAAAAAGAAGATAGCTATGAGTTCAGATCTATCTTATTGGTCTTTAATATTACAACCAATCCTTAACTTTCCACTATAAAGGAAGGATTACTAGATTGATTACTTTCTGGATAGATAATCTGGTAATAAATGATAGGTAAATCAAAAATTACTTTTATTTAGGAGTTTGAATTCTTACTCTCATCAGACATTTTTTTTCTAGGGACGCTTACTAATTAAATGATTTAAGTTGTTTCTTAGGGGTTTTTTGCCTATATATTTATGACTGTGTTAATGAGTAGTGAAATGATGCGGAAAGACAGCTATCAGGAAGAGGAAATACAGAAGCCTGAATAATCTATGGGTTAGAAAAGCATCCCTGAATAATCAAAAATTGGCAGTATTGGCATTGTTCTCAAGCCTTTTTATGAAAATGAAATCTGAAATCACCAAATGTAAACCTGGGAACATTATTCTAGTGTTGCTGTCTTGGATTCATGTTAAGAAGCGTCTTCATTCTTTGCTCATGTTGCCCACTTCTTGTGGATTTGTCTGAGTGTTTTTTGACAATCACTTCCTTAAAGACTCTTCTGAACTAGTTGGACCTGGTTAATCATAGAGAGTAGCCTTTAATCATGGATAGTCTTCTTGGATTATTTTTATATTTGAAAAGAAAATGTTTTATTTGCACTACTGAGTAGGAAGAGTTAATTGTTTTCTTTGTTCTTTTTTTGAAGTCATTACACAGGACTTCACTCCAGAGTTACCATTATGAGTGTGTTCAGCTCTGGTCCACAGAGGATGGATAAAAATGGTTTGTTATGTTTTTTTGCTCTGCAGTGCTATGAGCCTTATATCTGTTAATATGAAGGACAAAGTCAAAAGCAGCAGTGGATAGCAGGAAGGGTAGAGACTAATATGTTTGGGACCAAAACCATCTAAGTTAGAGATTTCCAGATCACAGAGGGGCTGGGCATTCTCTGGAGCAGTCATTGGTTGGTGCTTTATTGTAATCATTTTGCGCCAATCCCCAACAATTAGGAACTGGACCCTGGGAATAAGCTGAGGGTGCTGAACTGTTGGGGAAGGGTGACTGTAGCCACATGGAAGATAAAATATGGGTTTTTCTGCAAAATTTCCATCTGAGGGTTTTTACATTTAATATTTTTTTAAGACAGTTTAAAGAGCAAACGTTTTTTAAGTGTATTCTAGTTGCAAAGTATGCACACATATCTTGAATGGCTTTATTTTTATTGTGTAAAACTGTTGAACACATGACTGTGATGCACAAATTCTTTACGTGTAAGGAGTCTATGCATTTTACAGTAACTTATTTTATGATCGGGTGATGAGACAGTTATACTTTCAACTGCCATTATTTTTATTAAGTGCTTTCATTTTCTTTACAGTTATTATAAAATTGTATTTATTTTATACAGATGGGTTTTCATTTTCCTGATGCTGTAATGTTTACTTCAGCTTGTTGACCTTTCTTTGTGTTATCTGCATGTTGTAACGTGTGATAAGAATGAATGTAAAGGCTGTGGCAACTGTAATTAATTTTTGTAAAGGGCTGGTCACACGTGGATCTGGTTTATGAATGCATTTGGGATGATTTTGGTAACCAGATCACCTTTTCAGAAATTTAGATGTGAACACCAAAAGAAGCATTTTCTCAACAAAAATTAATAGCTGGTTCTATTTTTTTTAAACCTAGAAAAAATAAAGTTGATTTTTTTCAATTAAAGTGCTTTTAATTCTTAGCAGTGGGGATGGGGCATGTGTGTTTTACCAGAGCTATTTGGGCATTAATATCTGCAGGCAAGTACTTAAAGCACACTGTGGCAGTTGGATGCTGAAGGCAAACTGAAAAACCAAATGAAAAAACATCAGACTTCCTTCTTTGGTTTAAAAATATTTCCCCCTTTCTCCCCATTCTCCCAATCCAGTGGTGTGCTGGTAAATGTTTAGCAGTTCACTCTTCTGGGAGAAAATTATGTATTCAACTATACATGTTTGTTATAAATTTTGCTGATAGCAAGAACATATAACACAATTAACAAATAATAAGATACAAATACTTTATTGTAAATCCCATATAGCCAGTTGATTCTCACAGTATACTTAGTTGCTCAGGAAAGAACTAAAATGCTTTTTTAAAAGGATACTTAATTGCTTTTTGCTCAACTCCTACAGTCAACCTATGATTGATTGTCTTTCAACTGTGATTTGAAAAATGGCAGACTGTCCAAATCTAACTCATTTCCCAATAAATTTATTATCATTCAATCTGATACGTGATCTACTGTTAAAACTGTTTCTTACCATGGTACATATTAGACTCATTAAGCCGAAACCACTTTTAGCTTTAACATTAATTGTAAATTTATATGATTCAATTTTCATAACCAATGCTTAACAACTGCAGGCAAAATTCTAAAATGTGACCACTGGGTCTTGGGAATCAGTAGGGGCTGTATCCAGCACACCACTGCCCCATCCTTTTTTTCTTAACTATTAGTGTTGAATAAACTTCTCATAGTTAATCTACTTGCTGAACTCAGGAAATTCCTATCACTGACCCTGGCCAGGGCTTTAAAGGGTAGGAAAAGCATTAATGTCAGTCCTACACAGCGAACTTTTGATTTAGAAGAATGTGACAGAAAGAAAACATTTACTGAAATACATGGGAAGCTTGCATATTTCTAAAGTTGTCTTTATACTTTTCATTTCTCAAAGCTAAGTAAACTGTGGTATAGGCATCTCTAAGATGTTAGCATTTAAAACATCAATTGTTTTATTGATGTTTAAACAATTGTTTAAATCCCACTGAAAAATTTAAATATTAAAATATCTTGCACAGTCTACCAAATGAGTTAAATCGTTACAGTCGTGTCTACCTCTTATTTTTCTATCTGTATTTAGGCTGCTGTTTTGGTGAGATTCTAATTTCTTTTTCCCCTGGAACTACTTTCTGTGGAAGACAAGGAACAGACTGGGGACAGAGGCCTGAAAACAAATTGGAAGCACTCAGAGATCTATTGCTGACCAGCCCTATTCCTCATGAGTTGGCGGGGGGAAAGCCATTGTTTTTAATTTCCACTTAATATGAAAATGCTTGTTTTTAAAATGTTTTTTCCTGCTGAACAAATGTATTTTTAAAAGGAAAAAAATTCTCTTTTGGCTCTAAGAAGTCAGCTGTATGAGCAGGCGTGACCATATCATAACATGCTGATATGATAGAAATCAATAAATTTTTACCTCTCAGGATCTGGGTAACCTTGTTCTTAACTCCTAGAGGCTTGAGAAACATAAACCAAGTCTCAACAGTTCAGATCACATAGAAACAGACAGACATATGGAACGTGGGAGGAGGGTTGGCTAACCGCTGGAAATGAGATGGGCCCCTTTCATGATCAGAAAAGCACTCTCTAGTAGGTACAAAGGAAGAAACTGGAACAATGTTTTCTACTAGTGAGCAAGGAGCACATCACAGAGCTCATTTCTGAGTTCTCCCCTGGAAAGATTTTAGTGCCCCACTTTGGAATACTTTTTGCCTTTTGGGTGTGGGAGCACTAGAGATGGAGATGGTAAAGTTCTCACTGTTGACTTACCGAGGCAAGAGAACACTCAGCCATTCTTTGATTGTAGCAGCTGTCTGTGTGGTGTCATTGAAAAAACCTGGCACTGGGATACTTCCCTTAAAATATCAGTGGTTGCATCTTTATTTCCTTGTTGCATTTTTGATGGGAAAATCTCCCTGAAAAGGGTCTTACCTTCAGTTTCTTAGCAGTGCACACTATCAGGGCCAGCTGATGGACAGTTGAGGGAAAAGCAAATAGGTACCTAGAAGTGGAGAGATCAGAAGAGCTTGGAGTGCTAGGAAGAGGAAGCCAGGAGTGCTGGAAGACAAAAGGAAGACCAGAGCCTGCTGTCCACAAACAGGTACATATATCCTTGATACACAAACACTTCCAAGGAAGAAATCAACTTCCATGAGAACTCTGACCCAGAGTGTCTTCCCTGGGAACTCACCTGTAAAAGATCCCACCTCCCATTTCAGATAACTGCCCATTTTACTGAGGAAAGGCATACCTCAGCCAGTAGGGATGCCCCTCCAGGGTGACAAAGGGACAATTCAAAATATTGATGACACAGAAGCTTCTTTCAATCAAGGCATCTTAGCCCACAATCAGGCTTTTTGTGTTTCTCTGATTTATGCTTGTTTCAGTAAGGACAAAGGATGGCATTAGAAATGGTGCATTTGGGCCTGCGTTGGCTGTATTGAATTCTGATATATTTAGTGTGGGACAGTGGCAGCAATGGCAGCTCAGGGCTCACAGAAGTAGAAGGTACCAGGACTTCTTAATGGCATAGGTCCAAGACTGGCACAGAGTCACTTTTGGTGCTATATTCCTTTAGTTAACATGTCACAGAGCCAGTCCAGATTCAATGTGGGAAGGTCTATAAATGGGTAGAATACTATCAAATACTGAGAGGCATGCTTCATTGGGAGCTGTCTTTGAAGATCAGCTACCACAGTTAAAAAAAAAAAATTCCTAAGCTATTTGAATAAAGAACACTAGATGGGTCTAAAAGAGTTCTTGCCCTTTGGCAGGCTTGCCCATAATTTCCATTAGTTAGAAATATTTCGAGTTCCCAAATACCTTAAGAGGATTAGATTTGTTGATCCATCCCTCATTCGTATAAGTCACATTAATCAAATGGACACCTAGCTAAAAGAATGGAGGTTTTGTTTGGACATTATATTATTTTTGGCACCGATTGATGCATGACTGATTGGCTCTTAGAATTTCAGAGCAAGTAGTCACCTTGTTTTGGGATGGCAGATTTCACTCTGATACAATTTTGGTGCATTGCTGGTAGCATCAAATGGCTACTTAGTAGAATTGTGGGGACTAGAATCAGCTTTCTTTTATTTGCATTCATATATTTTCCCCAAAACAGCATATTGCTTTGGTTCAGATTTATGTATTTCGTAAATAAGAGTGAAATCTAAAGGAACAAGTATATTTGTTAAAAGGGCGATGGATCTAGAAGCTAAAGCTTCCATAACATCCTTATCCTCAATTTTAATAATCCCAAAACCCCAAAAGATAATTTTTATTAATGTTCCTCTCAGCTGCTGCAGAGATACAATTAACCATGAAAAAAGCCCTGAAATTAATTATTTTTTTTTTTTGGATGTGGAAGTGAAGTGCATTTTAAAAATTTTGCCCTATATAGTAGAAGATAAAAAGAACATTTTTATGTTAGACCAAAGGGGATACAGATTTCAATCTCATAATAGTTTCTTTCTTTTCTGAATTCTAGTGTGGAACTAGAGTAGGTAATAAATTCTAGGCCACGATGGCCACTAGTGCCCGAATATCCCTCTGTCATGGCGCCATCAAGTGTTAAGGGCTTGTCCAAGTAGGAGCCCAGGAGCAGCAGAACCGGGGACTTCAATTCGACCTTGGCCCTTTGGCAAGTTTCTTATCCTCTCAACCTCACTCTCCTTATGTGTTAAATGGGAAACGCTCAAAGACTTCTTTTTTTTTTTTTTTCTGAGACGGAGTCTCACTCTGCAGCCCAGAGTGCAGCCGCGTGATCTCGGCTCACTGCAACCTCTGCCTCCCGGGTCCCGGTTCAGTGATTCTCCTGCCTCAGCCTCCTGAGTAGCTGGGACTTCAGGTGTGCACCACCACACCTGGCTAATTTTTGTATTTTTATTAGAGACGGGGTTTCACCATGTTGGCCAGGCTGGTCTTGAACTCCTGACCTCATGATCCGCCCACCTTGGCCTCACAAAGTGCTAGGATTACAGGCGTGAGCCACCATGCCTGGCCAAGACTTCTTTTCAGTATTAAGTGAGATTATATACAGGAAGCACATAAGACACTGGCACATTGTACTGAATGTGCAGTAAGGAGGCTGTGTTTATCTCACCCCAACTGGGTTTAACAGAGGATGTAAGTTATTCTCATATTGAGATGTGCCTAAACTGCAAGTGATGTGTTCCATGCATACCCAATGCAGTGGCTCATGCCTATAACCCCAGCACTTTGGGAGGCCAAGGCAGGAGGATCACTTGAGCCCAGGAGTTTGACACCAGGCTGACAGGAGATCAGCCTGGCCAACATGGTGAAACCCCGTGTCTACTTAAAAAAAAAAAAAAATTAGCCAGGCATGGTGGTGTGTACCTGTGGTCCCAGCTACTCGAGAAGCTGAAGTAGGAGGATCACTGGAGCCTGAGAGAATTGAGGCTGCAATGAGCTGTTATCATGCCCTAGGTCTCTTGGTTTTTAAGTTAGACACATGCAATCAGCATAGCCAAGTCCCTAACCCCACACAGTCAGACTATATTTAATATATCTAAGGCTCCAGACAGCAGTGAGAAAAAGCTTTGAGGTTGGAGCGCCAATTAGGAAGGTGAGGAGACGGGGGCATAAAGAGGAAATCAGATCTACTAGACAAGACATTACATAGGCTTAATAGGGACCTATTTTTGCTTCTGAGACATGATGTCACTTGTGGTGAAGACCTTGAACTAATTATCAAAATGGAGGGAAATATAATTTCTAGTATTTGGAAGCTGTCCACCAGCCCACGGTTCTCTGTATAATTCATATGATTCTAAATATAAAACTACATTGAAAGTGTCCTAATGCTTCAGGAAATTGAAAGTAATTTTGAAAACCTTTCTCCTTTCTAGTTGCAGAAGTCTCAGAAGTTTATATCTTGAGAATTGACACTTTACCTTCCAGTGGTAAGTTCTGGGTGCTCAGTTCTTAGTGGGTATCAGAAGGAAGTGGGCAGATTAGAATAAGATATTGCTTATGGCTATTGAGGTTATCATGGTAGAGCACAAAGAAACGAGGCAAAGCTGGATTAGCAGGTGTGTATTCGAAACTCTGCCCTGCTGGGGGTGGGGGTGAGGAGATGAGAAGCAGGTGATGTTTCAAAGCCCCATCTGGCCCTAAGAGCCTTTGATTCCCCAGACAAATATCCAACAAGCTGTCCAGCCCACCATTCACGGAACTTCAGAGTAACACCAGAAATTGGGAATTCCAAGAGAGAGAGGCTTCAGGGCCATGATGAGGTTATGGAACAGTTCTCTTAGAGAAGATTTGGAAATACTTCAAACCATCATCTGGTGGGAAGCTTGGCATAAACAGCAACTCATGGATATGGAGATGGCTGCTCAGGCATTACGATATTCAGAGTGGTTCTGGGCTAGCTTATTATAAAGAAGACCCGTCCTTGTTTTCCCAAAGGATGGCTAGAAAAAGCAAGGGAATGAATGAGTTAATGAATGTGGAATTAATAAAGCATTTCTTCTTGGAGGCAGAGAAATGGAACAGCTGATTACTGAAAGCCAGCCTTCAGAATCTGTGCCATGTCCGATCAGGAATAATAATTGAAATTGTCATTGGAGCGATGTCTGAGGGATGCAGAAACCTGGTGTCACAGGAAGCATTGCCTCAGACTCTGTCTTCCTCTTTATTAGGCCTTGGAGAGGAAGGACAGCAGGGTTACCTCACCAGCCCAGCTCCAGCTCCCCTTCACCCCCCGCCCAGGTACCTGTCTGACTGCAGCAGGAGATTCTAGCACAGAGGGTGCCAGCAAGCAGGGGTGCTCAGAGGGTTTCTCATTTGAAAGGTATTTACTGTTAGGGGAGAGTGGGAGGAGAGGAGGGGCAGGCATGGGTGGGCAGAGCATAGGTACTAGGAATCTGCAAACCACAGACAAGAAGCAAGTGAAAGTAAAGATCTGAGGGTTTGCTGTAAGCTGCATTAGCAGGAGGAGCACTGGGCCTGTGGGAGTGGACACATGTGTCTCCTTCCAGGGGCTCCTGCCACAGCCTCAGCCTCAGACATCTCAAGGCTCAGTGTGTGTGTCTGTCTGCCAGTGTACCCCAGGGGGGCCTCATGGTGAGGCTTCCTCTGCCTGGGTTGCTCCTGGCATGGGCTCCAGCTTTTCCCCTCAACCCTGCAGCCCACTGGAAGACATAAGCTAAAGCTGGTGGGGACCTCCACTCTGGGTACCGTCCCTGCCCATCCCCTCTGGCAGTCGCTTTCCTAACTGACAGGTATTGGTGAAGTGCTCAGGATGTTCTTGGTGGGCGTATTTCCTCCAGGTGGGGGTGGCGTAAAAGCCACAGCCTTTTAGAAGCCTCTGTTTCTTTCCTTGACTGGCACTTTAAAAGGTGTGTGCTCTACCGTCATCACTAGGAGAGGGAGGCTCTGTGATCCTCCTTTATTCTCCCATCTTTCCACCGGGGTCTAATACATTTAACAAGCCTATGAAAAGGCTGCCTACCTCATGCCATTTTCTGACTGTTATTCAAAGTGAAGGACATCTGAAAAAAGACATTACATTACCTACAGCCCAGGGTGGAGCGGGGAGGGAATAATTTAGTACAAGGAATTAGGAGGCATTTTTTCTTTTTTGACAGGCTGAAAGGCTTCCTAGGTGAGATTTCCATCGCTGGTTGAAGGAAGGGAAAAGGCTGAGTGGGAGGTGCAAGGGCTGCTAATCTGAAAATTACCGGAATTTCCTTAATTTCCACTCTTTAGAAAATGTCTGCTGCACAAGGAGAGGGTGGTGAGAATCCAGTGAGATAATCCTCATGGAAGGGTTTGGAGAACCTTGTAACACTTCACCAGAGTGAGGGGCAATGACAATTCGAGTCCACGATAAAAAAATAAAATAAAATAAAAAAAGGCCCTTTCTTGTCACTAGAAGAATTCACAAAGAGGCTGGGTGAGCCTGTGCCAGGGTGCTGGGTGGGAAAACCCACTCTGGTTGGGGGATGGACCAGCTGGCCCCTAAGGCCTGTCTCCCCCTGGCCCCTAAGGCCTGTCTCCCCCCAGCCCCCAACTTCCATGCGCCGTTGTCACAGGGACCCTGATAAAAGCTCCCACTGTGCCTGGGTTTCTGTTGTGCTCAGAGGAGGGAAGAAACAATGAGCTCAGCTTGGCCAGAGGACAGGTCTCATTTTGCTCTCATCACTTACAGAGGCCTCTCCCCAAGCAGCAAACTACCAGGCAGGACCAGCTACGTTGTCTGTGTGACCCAGTACAAAATGAAAATGCGACTCCCTGTTCAAAGAGCATTACGAATTTCAAGTCGGCAACAGAAGAGCAGTAAAACGCAGGCACCTCATGAAGGCTGCCCTGTCATGAGAACCACGAAGGAGGAAATGAGGAATGGGAAGGAGCCAGGCCCCTGGGGGTGGTCCATGTCCCCTTGTTGTCCCTCCTGCCAAGGCACTGCACAAGATGTTCTTAGAGAGGAGGAGATGTGAGTAGCAAACTGTAGGGTGTGGAAGCTCAGCCCGCCAAGGCATCCCAGAACTGTGCCCTGAAGGCCAGGAGACCAGGCATCCACCGACCATCCCCCGGTGGTTAAGGGCTGCCCCTGCAGTGGGTGGAAAAGGCTCCCATGGCACCAGAGAAGCCTCAAGGCCTGAAGCTGAAAGGCCCTAGGTGTGGGAAAGATGCTGCCTGGGGTAAGCGTGAGTCCCACGGAGCAGGAGCCACCTGCCACAGGGCAGCTGAACACTGAGCCAAGGGAACATGGCCAGGGGCGCCTAAGACATCTGCACAGGGGCCACCAGACTTCCCGAGGAACCAGCCTCCCAGTGCAGCATGGGGTGGGGTCTGCAAGGTCTGTGAACAAAATAACATTTGTGGTGCTCTGTGAATTCACGTGCCCTTCCTTTCCTCACTGACTGCAGTTGTCCATTATTTGAGCTGCCCCCTTTCCCACCCACTGTGCAGTCACACCATGGAACCACAACCAGGTTGCACAAGAAAGCAGGACAAAGGGGTGGGATCAGTCAGCTAGTGTTTGCAGAATGTGTCTACTGGGTAGACTGGAAAGGGGCCTAGAGATGGGACACAAGCTCTGCCACCATTACAGTCACATGTTGACATGTGCAGATGGCATCACAGAGATTAGCTGTGGCGATGCTGAAGGGCTTTGGGGCAGGGGTTAATCCCTAGGGGCTGCCTAGAGAGGGAGGCACAAAGCTCAGGGAAAGGTTCAGAGCACATTTCACTGCTGGCAGAAGGATGCTGGAGACTCGTGCTGCCTCCATCCTCAGTCGCCCGGGCAGCAGCTCGCATCCAGGCTCCACCTGGCTGCCTGCCTGACACTGCTCTGGATCCAGCAGGCCAGCTCAGATCTCCTTGCCAAGTTCTTCCATCCCCAAGGCCCTCTTTCTTGGCCACATTTCCTCGAAACCACTTTCTAGGCCCTTGTTGCCTCCCACATTGTTCTGAGAAATGGGCTGGCAAACTACCCAGGCCAGAACCCCTGAATCTTCGAGCAGAGAAGCAAGCTGATCATAGTTATTAATCAGTCTTCGAGGGGGAAGGATCCAGGCATAGGAAACAGGAATCTTAGGGAAATACCCCAGCTCAGCTCCTTTCTAGCCAGATGGGTCACATTTCCTCAGTTTCCACATCTTGAGACAATAATCAGCTGCCATGAGATCAAATGAAATCGCACCTGAGAATGGAATTTTCTAACCAATGGAGTTTTATGTAAACATAACATTTAATAACCACCGTTTGCTGCTGTTGTGCCTTCTCCTACGCTCTCCCGTGGCACACACAGTGGGCTTTGTTATGTGGAACTTATTATCTTGGCAAACTCCCATTGGTCTGGAGTCTAAACTGGACACTCAAACAGGCCGATTGTGGGTTGTCTCAGGCCTGCAGGGGCACTTGATCCTGGTTCAGAGCCAGGAATGCGCAGATCCAGCTCTTCGGAGCTCCGTGGCCTTGGGCAAACTCCTTGATTTTCTGTCGCCTCTTGTGACTCATCTCGTGACTCATCTGACAAAGGAGGTTATTATGCCTGCCCTGTCTGCCTCCCGGGTTCCCAGGAGGGTCACGCTAGATGCGAATGGTTCTACACAGGGGCGTGCTAGATGGTCAAGCGCTGCAGAGATGCGGGGGGTAATGACTGGGGGGAAAAGCTTTCTACCTTGATTCCACAGCACACATCCTTTCATCAGGCCTAATGTGGACCGGGAGGCAGAGACAAGATCTGGAAACATTTTCTGGAACATCTGAGAGTTAGTGCACAAAATAAATACTCACCCTCTTCCTAGGCAGGAGTACATTAGTCCTTACCATTATGGTGGTGGTGGTTGTATTAAGGTTATTATGGGTCAGAACAAAGAAAAGGGGAGGGGATGGAGTGGAATTTGAGTCCCAGGAAAGGAAGAAGAAAATGTCAAGAAGTCTTGGGAGGACTGGCAGGAACCTGAAGGGAGGAGCCAGACAGCAGGGGACCAGACAGCCCGGGATTGGGGAGCTGGCCAGATGAAGGAGGTGGCACGTTTGTTCCTGCACCACGCAAGAAGCACCTAGAGGGAAGGAGGGAAAGCTGAGAAAGCGTAAAGCAAGGGCGGGCAGTCTTTCCCAAGCATGGGGCCACTGACTCCCTGGCACATGCAGGCTCGTATAGATGGGCAGTAGAGAGACAAAGAAAGGAAGGAAGACGTAGGTTGCCTGGAAGGAGCCAAAGAACCATGGTGGTGGTTTGAAATGGTATATAATTGTGTGAAGGGACAAGGTGGGCAGTGGCCCTCTGGTCTCTCTGGGAGCAGGAGCTTCCTGCACAGGCATCACCAATCATCGGGAGTGAAAAGGAGCCTGGACTTTATTATTTTATTCTTCCTTCTCCACTTCCTTTCAGTCAATATGTACTGAGTACTTACTGCATGCTAGGCACTGTGCCAGGTGCTGGGCATACGGTAGGGAGCAAAACAGACAAGGTCTCCTGGAGCGTGTATTCTACTCAGGAGAGATGGAAAACAACTGAATAAAATACGGTTGACTCTCCTTCTTCACAGATTCCATATTTGCAAATTTGCCCACTCAATGAAACTTACTTGAAACACCAAAATCAATACTCACAGACTTTCGGAGTCATTCGCGGAAGTGCAGAGAAGCAGTAATTTTGAGTTGCTCGAGACCTTCTTGTTTCTGCTCTCATATCATAAACAATCATCCTTTTCACGGTCTGTTTGATGCTGCAGTTTTTTTGCATTGTTGTGTTTTTATTTGGTGAGTTCACTATTTAAAAAGGCCCCCAAGCTTAGTGCTGAAGTGCTGTCTCGTGTTTCTGAGTGCAAGGAAGCAGTGACAGGCCCGACAGAGAAAATACGTATGTTAGATAAGCTTCGTTCAGGTGTGAGTTAGTGCTGTTGGCCGTGAGTTCACTACAAATGAATCAGCAGTATACACAGTTGACTCTTGAGCAACACGAGTTTAAACAGCATAGGTCCATTTATATGCAAACTTTTTTCAATAAAAGTTACACCAAGTGTGCCTGCCTCTCCTGCCGCCCCTTCCAACACCTCCACCTCTTCCACCTCTGCCACCACTGAGGCAGCAAGACCAACCCCTCTTCTTCCTCCTCCTCAGCTTACTCAAGGTGAAGACAAGGATGAAGCGTTTTATGATGATCACTTCTACTTAATGAATAGTAAATATGTTTTCTCTTCCTTATGATTTTCTTAATAACATTTTCTTTCCTCTAGCTTACTTTACTGTAATAAGAATACAGTATATATAATACATATATAAAACGAGTGTTAATCAACTGTTTATGTTATCAGTAAGGCTTCCAACTAACAGTGGGCTATTAGTAATTTAAGTTTTGGGGAGTCAAAAATTCTACATGGATTTTGACATGCACAGTGGGGGTTAGTACCCCTAACTCCCTCATTGTTCAAGGGTCAACTGTATTAACTAAGGTGTCTTTAAGCAGAAACACACATAAAACAAGGTTATATATTGCTTGATGGATGGAAATGTTGTTGCCAGTGGCTTGCAAAAACCTAACCTCCATTTACCCGATAGTTCAGTACTCACTAGCTCAGTGTTCATGGTGACTTTATAAAGCATAGCTACCCCAAATAATGAGGAAGGACAGTAATTTTATTTATAAGTGCAATAAAGAAGATCAAGTGGGGATAGATTAGAGTATGATTGGAAGGGGGCTGGTGATCCAGGAGGCTCTTTGGGGAGGTGACAATTGAGCTAAGACCCAATGACAAGAAGCAGGCAGCCACGTGAGGACCTTTGCAGAGAATTCCAGGGGATGGGGACAGCAGGGGCACCAGCCCTGGGGTGGGAAAGCTATGGTGGGCATGGCTGGGGCAGATTGAGAGCCCAGCTGGACGGTGGAGCAACTGGAAGAGGAAAGCATCACACAAGAGGAGGCAGAGAGTCGGGCACAGTGGCTCATGCCTGTAATCCCAGCACTTTGGGAGGCCAAGGCGGGCAGATCACCTGAGGCCAGGAGTTTGAGACCAGCCTGGCCAACACGGTGAAACCCCATCTCTACTAAAAGAAACCAACAAACAAAAATATATATATATATGTACACAAAAATTAGCTGGGCGTGATGGTGCATGTCTGTAATCCCAGCTACTTAGGAGGCTGAGGCAGGAGGATCGCCTGAACCTGGGAGGCAGAGGTTGCAGTGAGCCGAGATGGCGCCACTGCACTCCAGCCTGGGCAACAGAGTGAGACTCCATCTCAAAAGAATTTAAAAAATAAAAATAAAAGAGGAGGCAGAGAGAAGGCCCCTGAGGGCCACATGAGGACTGTGGCTTTGATTCTTAGTTCCATGAAAGTCACTGGAAAGTTTTCAGTGGAACAACGAAACTGATCTATGGTGTTCACAGATACCCGGCTGCTGTGTGGGGAATGAGCCAAAGTGACCAGACTGGAAGTGGGGGTCCCGTTGGGAGGTGACTGCACTATCCAGGCTTGAGACGGCATAGCCTCCATCAAGGTTGTGGCACTGGAGACAGATTCAGGTCTATTCTGGAGGAAGAGTTAAGCTTGATTTGCTGATGAATTAAATGTAGAAAGTGAAAGAGAGGAATTAAGATGACTCCGGGGTTTTGAGCTGAAACAGCTGGATGGATTGTGTTGCCATTTGCTGAGATGGGGATGACTAGGGCAGGACAATTATGACCATGTTAGGTTTCACACACTTGCTAAATATCTAAGGACATGTATTCATGAATACATGAATCAAGCTCAGGGGTGTGTCAGAATTGGAGAGAGAAATTGAGAAGCAATTAAACTGGATGAGGTCCCTGAAGGTTGGTGGGCACTTGGGAACCTCTGCAGGATTCAGACAGAACTGGGTTGTGGCAAGAGAGGCTGGGTGTGCAGACAGGGTCCACAGAGGTGGGAGTATAGGCTGAGAGGCAGCTGATGTTTCTGGTTGTGAGAGTTGTAAAAGGGGATCTGAGAAATGTGGAATCTCAGGGCTTAGAAACTGAGAAGGCACCCCCTGCAGCCCTGCTCTGCAGATGCTGCAGGAACCCAGCCTCCCCGTGAGTAACAGGATCTACCACCCAGCCTGGGGCCCATCCAGAGCTCCTCCAGGCCCTCATTCTGTCCCACCTGACATTAAGCACCTGAGCTGGATTATAGCTGGCTCGTATTTCTAACCAGCTAATTTCCCTATGTAAAAGATATTTTGCTACTGGGCTAGACATCCAGTGAGAGGAAGAAAGGCAGGGGTTGGCCTGAGCAGGACTTGGGTTAGAGAACGTGGGAGTTCAGAGCCTGTTCTCCCCTTAGGTAATGGGGAAAGAGACAGAGGGAGGAGGAAGGACCAGCTGGCAGCCCAGGGCTCTGGCGGTAGCTGTATTGTGCCCAATGAATCAGGAAGGGATGATTCCTCTGCCTTGAAGCAGCATAGCGAGGCGGTCAGTGCACAAGTTCTGGAGCCTGACCACTTGGATTCAAATCTTAGTTCAACCATGTACTAATTGTTGTGCCTTTTCCCCTGTCTGCAGAAGAGCACCAAGCACACAGTGTGCTCATGGGGTGCCTAGAACAATGGCTGGCATGTAGCAAACACTCAGTAAACAGAATCTTGAGCTGGTACTGAGGCCATTTCACATCTGCCTCTCATTGAACATTGACTTCCAAGCTGCAGGTCACTCCTGCACAAATGAAAGATGGCTGCTGACTGGATTAAGGTGTGGCAACAGATAGGCACAGATCTGTGCTCTGAATCAGGCACAGTAACTGTGAGTTTCATAGAGCCTATGTAATCACTGTGCTTGCTGTAATAACATCCTTGATCCCATGACACTGCATTTTTCACACTTTTCATTCTATCTTAGGTATTAATCTCTCTCCTAGGGCTGCTGTGATGAATTACCACAAACCTGGTGGCTTCAGACAACACTCTTTTTCTTTCACAGGTCAGGAGACCTGAAGTCCAAAATCAAGGTGTCAGCAAGGTTGGACCCTTCTGAGGGCTGTCGAGGAGAAACCATCCAGGCCTCTCCTGGCTTCTGGTGCCTGCCAGCAATCCTTGGCTTTCCCCAGCTTGTCACACATCACTCCAATCTCTGCCTCCATCTGCACATCACCCCTTTCTCTGAGTCTTTCTGTGCTCTCTCCTTTTCTTCTAAGGACACCAGTCATTGGATTCAGGGCCCACCCTAAAACAAGGATGATTCCCTCTTAGGATCCGAAATTAATTTTATCTGCAAGTAACCTATTTCCAAATAAGGTCACACTTTGAGGTGTAAACATGAATTTTAGGGGGACACTATTCAACCCACTCTATCTTTGCAGTGGCCCACTGGAGCAAGAAAGACAAGTACTATTATTGCCTTTATATAAGTTGGAAAGCCAGGGTCTAGAGAAGAGAAGTTAACTGGCCTATGGTTATATAGTTAGTTGGTGGGAATAGATCCCAGATTTAAATTCCTCTTCCAGGACTGTTTCCCCACCCAAGTTTTTTGTTTTTTGTTGTTGTTGTTGTTTGTTTGTTTTGTGAGATGGAGTCTCTCTCTGTCGCCCAGGCTGGAGTACAGTGGCACTATCATAGCCTACTGCAGCCTCAACCTCCTGGGCTCCAGTGATCCTCCTGCCTCAGCCTCCCAAGTAGCTGGGACTATAGGTGTGAACCACAGTGCCCAGCCCTCACCCAAGTTTTACACACGTACATACACCTTGTATGTATGTTATGTGCAAGGAAGACAGACACTGAGGGCAGGAAAGAGCTGCTATCTTGCCTGTCCAGCTCTCCTCTCTCTTCTTCTGGCAGATCAGCTTTGGCCTTTTCCAATCACGTGGCTCCATGGCGGCCACCATGCTCTAGTAGGGCCCTCTTCCTGGCACAGGGGCTCCCTGGGGCCCAACCCTTGACACCTTTGACTGCATTCAACTTGTCCAGAGATGGGTGTGTGATTCAAGTTGAGGAAAACAGAGCCAATTGGCAATTTAGACATCAGGGCCTGACAGTGTGAGTCTCAGTTCCATCCTAATGGCAAAGCTGGGAGATCAAGCTGCTGGTGGCCACGAGGACAAGGCCTTCAGAGAGAAGAGCAGACACAGGGCTTGCAGAGGGAGGCCTGATGGACCTGGGGATCTTAGTTGCAGCTGTCCCTAAGGCCCTTCCCATGCCTTGGTTACTTGAGCCAACGTATTTCCCCTTTTCCCTCTTTTGCTTAAACAGGTTCACATTTGTCTTCTGTCACTGGCAACCACAGCAGTCTGAATTATCATCGCATTGCAAAAATAAATGTTAGCTCATGTTGGTAATGAAGAGATCAGTAAAAAAAAGAAATCAAGCCGGGCAATGTTAGAAATCAAGCTGAGCATGGTGGCACACACCTGTAGTCCCAGCTACTCAAGAGGCTGAGGCAGGAGGATTGCTTGAGCCCAGTAGGTCAGGGTTGCAGTGAGCTATGGTTGTGCCACTGCACTCCAGCCTGGGTGACAGAGCAAGAGACCCTATCTAAAAAAAAAATAAAAAATAAAGAAATCATGTTTTGTTTTCCATTTAATATTTGAGAATAAAGTATTTAAGTAAACCAGTGTGTTTTAATCAGGGGGTTAACAAAAAAGTATTGATGGAGCTCTCATTCAATATAAAAGAGCAAAGGTGACATATTCAAATAGTCTCTTTTTTTAATGGCTTCATCTTGTAGAAGACCAACTTCTAAAATTTTCCCCAATGACCCCCCATATCTCAATACTAATATCCTTGTGTAATTCCCTTCCCTTGAGTGTGAGTTGAATCTGGTAACTTGCTTCTGACAAGTAGAATATAGCAAAGTTGATGAAATATCACATCTGTGATTAGGTCACAAGAGGTTGTAATGCAGGCTCTCTCTCTTGCTGGCTTTGATGAAGTGAGCTGCCATGTTAGAGAGGCCCACATGGCCAGGAACTGAGGGTGGCCTCCGCCAACAGCCGACCAGGAACTGAAGCCCTTGGTCCAGCAGCCTGTAAGAAACTGAATCCTGCCACCAACTGCTTAGAAGCGGATCAGTGCCCAGTTGAACCTTGACTGCAGCTGGGTAAGTCTCCCAGCGAAGCCATGCCCGGATTCCCAACACACAGAAACTGGGAGATCATACACGCGTGTGGTTTGAAACCACTAAATGTTGGGGTAATCTGTTACAAAGCAATAGATACTGAATTCAACTCTGATAATAAAAGTCCCATTACATAAAAAGCAGACAGAATTTTTTTAAAATCAACAGAATAAACAAATAGAAGTGAAGTCAAGGTGCTGTTCTGTGTACTCAAAGTACTTAAGTATGTAAATAACTTGCTTTTAAATAACTGAAATATATTCGGCATTATTCCTATCATTTATTTCCGTATGGTTACCTCTGAAAAAGGAGTGGAATGTGTTAGGTGCATTTGTGCTGAGCCCATGGATGTTTTCAGTCCCATGAGCTGCAAAGAGATGCTTTTGAGAATATCTTTTCTATGGCACGATATTCAGTTCAGAGGATTCAACTTAGAAACGTTTTCTTACAAAAATACTTAAAGGACTTTACATCAATACCTGTAACATGGACAACAAGGATAGAGTGAGTGACTATGAGTGTGTGTGTGTGTGTGTGTGTGTGCGCGCGCACGCCTGTGCATAGCTTAAGGAGTGTTTTTTATACAGCTATGTTAGGAATACAAAACGTGTATTCCTACTATAAGGGCTACTGTAATATGAAAATTAAAACCACCAAGGGCTATTGTAATATGAAAATTAAAACTCAAACTCACCACACAATTCAGAAAAACTACATGACTATTCACATTTTCAAATTAAAACAGGTAAATAAAGCATTGCATGTACTCACACACATACATCCACACACACTGCAGATTTCAGTTCTATATCATGCATAGTCGGACAAGGTAGAGAGTTACATAGGGGAGAGAGAAGGATAGAGAAAAAGAACATGAGCCTGGCCCAGTGGCTCACACCTGTAAGCCAGCACTTTGGGAGGCTGAGGCAGGGGGATCGCTTGAGGTTAGGAGTTCGAGACCACCCTGGCCAACATGGTGAAACTCCGTTTCTACTAAAAATACAAAAATTAGCTGGGTGTGGTGGCACATGCCTGTAATCCCAGCTACTTGGGAGGCTGAGGCAGGAGAATCACTTGAATCCAGGAGGTGGAGGTTGCAGTGAGCCGAGATCATGCCACTGCACTCCAGCCTGGCTGACAGAACAAGACTCCATCTCAAAAAAAAAAAAAAAAAAAAAAAGAACATGAGCATTGGAAGCTTGGAAGTTGATGAGGAAAAACCTTTGTTTCAGAGTGGTTCACTAAGGCCTTAGAACTTTTTTCTTTCTTATTTTTTTTTTTAAAGCTATAGGGTGCTTTCATTTGCCAATCTTATTAAAGGGCTGGGGTTGGTTTATTCGTGTATGCAATATCTATAGTGCACTGGGTGCTATCCCTGCAGCTGGGCTGAGCAGTGAAAACAGAGCATCCTTAGAGCATATGCACACACAGCACACGGTGCAGAGCCAGACGGTAAATGGTTATGAGGCAGGGTGATAACTGCTAGGAGAGGGATATGGACTACTGTGTTAGTCTGTTTGCATTGCTAAAAAGAAATACCTGAGACTGGGTAATTTATAAAGAAAAGAGTTTATTTTGGCTCATGGTTCTGAAGGCTGTACAGGAAGTGTGGCGCCAGCATCTACTTCTGGTGAGGACTCAGGGAGCCTACAATCATGGCAGAAGGCGAAGCGGGAGCAGGCACATCGCATGGTGACAGAGGGCAAGAGAGAGAAGGGAGAAGGTGCCAGTCTCTTTAAACAACCAGCTCTCTTGTGAACTAATAGAATGAGACTCATTACTGCGAGGTGGGCACTAAGACATTCATGAGGGATCCACCCCCATGACCCTAACACCTCCCACCAGACCCCACCTCCAACACTGGAGATTACATTTCAACATGAGATTTGGAAGGGACAAACATCCAACCGTATTAGCTACCAAAGCAGAGAGAACCAGTCTGCCCCAGGCTAGGTTGGGGAACAGGAAATTCCCTGAAAGAGCAGATGCCTTGGTACAAGTTAGGGGGGCCCACCATAGTAGTCCTGGCAAGAACAGGCAGAGGCCTGAACAGACACAGGCAGCGTCACAGAATAGAAAGGAATGGCTCCTTGAGAGGGGCCCCAAAAAGGACTTGGCAGAGGGAAATTGCCCCAAGATTCCCCCAGTTTCTAGTTCATGACGTTGCAGGGATGGAGGATACCATTAACTGAAGGAAGAAAGCAAGAGAATAGATCTATGGGCAAAAGGATTTTTCCACAAATAATATAACCTGATCATACAAATATCTGATATAACATTTTTGAAAGATTCTCTATAGCTTTCAGGATAACATTCACACTCTATTGTTTAGCATGTATGGCCCTCCACATTCATTCTTCTCTAGGTTTATTTCTTGTCACTCACCCAAGTTCATCCTTAGTTCCAGCAACACAAAACTACTAGTAATTCTCAGCCACGTTCCCTGGCTGTTGAATGGTTTTGCATGTGTGATTCTCTCTGTCTAGAAAGCTCTCTGTTATGAACATCTGTTGCTTTAGTGTTCTCAGCATCCCCCCTCATTCCATGTGGTCCTAATGGAACTGCCAACCACAGTATCCTGTCCCCTATTCCCAGTGCTGGGTAGCAGATCCAGGCCCGTTCAGTCACAGTACCCATCCCCCAGCCACAGTGATTGACCTGGGATTGGCACATGACCCAAGCTGGGCCAATCAGAGCCCTTCCGTGGGATTTTACATATGGGTGCTGGGAAAGTTCTCTCTTTTTTCTGGAGCCAAAAAACTCGGTTAATATAAGCCTGGAACTGCCTGTGGCCAGGGCCCTCCTGCCCCTGAAACCTGGAGGAAGCTAACCTGATTAGGAGAGAATGAGTCCAACACAGAGGAAGAAGCAGCAGAGGTAAGTCTGAGGAGAGCCGCAAACCTGAATGCTTGTGTGTCTGAGGCCAGCTTCACCCAGTCGTCCCAGTTATACAGTTCCCTGGTTTGCTTCCTCTGGCCTGAGTAAGGTTTCTGTCATTTGAAACTGAAAGCATTCCATATCCAAAATCCCAATTTCTTCTTCTCACTTTCTACACATCCTTCAGACCTCAGTTCCAGTCCCATTCCTCCAGTAAGCCTTCTCTGAAGGACCAGTTGCTCTTCCTCTCCCAGTACAATGGTCTTCCCTGGGTTCCATAACATCTGGGCATATATCAATTGTATCCCTTAGCAACCAGACTGGTAATAGTCAGTTTACATCTCTGTTTACCATCAAGTCATAAGCTTCTTGACCCTCATTGTATTGACTTTATAGTTCAATGTCTGGTGCAGAGGAGGTGTTCAATCAGCTTTTGACGAATATCAAGTTTGTAGTTTCCTGTGGAACACCCAGGTGTCTGTGATGTATTTGGGTATTTAAATCACAGAGGGGGCCGGGCGTGGTGGCTCATGCCTGTAATTCCAGCACTTTGGGAGGCCGAGGTGGTCAGATCACCTGAGGTCAGGAGTTTGAGACCAGCATGGCCAACATAGTGAAACTCTGGCTCTACTAAAAATAAAAAAAATAGGTGGGCCTAGTGGTGCATGCCTGTAGTCCCAGCTCCTTGGGAGGCTGAGGCAGGAGAATCGCTTGAACCTGGGAGGTGGAGTTTGCAGTGAGCCAAGATCGTGCCACTGCACTCCAGCCTGGGCAATAGAGCAAGACTCCAACTCAAAAAAATAAAAATAAAAATAAAATAAATCACAGAGGGGCTCTGCTTCTGTGGAGCAAGAGGAGGAGACCAGGGGGCAGTGGGCAGTGGGAGGAGAGGAAGGGGATAGAGTCCTTAGTCACTTTCCAGTGGCTTATCCAGGAAGGGAAGGACAGAGGTAAAGTAGCAACTGGAAGGACAAAAGGGACTTTAACATTCCAAAGACCTGGAGTGTTTCTATGTTGAGGGGATGGAGCCAGTGGAGAGAGAGGAGGAGGAGGGAGTAGAAGCAAAACCATGGGACAAGGGGAGGTCCCAGAGCACAGGTGGAAGGAAAAGGCACAAGAATGACCAACAGACACTCCAGTTTAGACAGTGCCCTAGAAGGTGAGAGTAACCTCACTCAGCCTCCCACCAGGCTACGAGGTTGGGAAAAACAGAGCCTCCATCTTTTCTCCTAAGTCTCCCAAAGCATTTGGCTTTCTTTTTCTGAATTACCCTTTACCTCCCAGCAAGTGGAGGCCCATTACTGAGCTTAAGGGGCCCTTCCGGGTCACCGGCCTTCACTAGGTCCAAGTCTCCCACGGTGCTGGCCAGAGTTAAGGGGCCCTTCCGGGTCACCGGCCTTCACTAGGTCCAAGTCTCCCACGGTGCTGGCCAGAGTTCAAGGTAATCCTTTGGATTGTTTCCCTTGTTGTTGTTACCAGACCTAGGAGACTGGGTTACCCCAGGATAATGTTCACTGACGTTGTCCAGGGCCCTGTGATCCTGTAAAGGGAGGAACATGGATGTAAATTATTAAGGAAATCTCAGGTTCTCAACAATTCCCTAGCGATCCAAATATGCCAAGAAACCTGAGAGCGCTCAGCCCTTGGGGTGCTGCAGCTAGGATTGAGCTGGCAACAGTTCCCAGGCCTGCAGGCCTCTGAGCCTGCCAAAGATTGAATCCCAAAGTCTGATGGCTCACGAGGGCCCCATGTGAAAAGCTATCTGCAGCAAGCGTTTCTCAAAAGATCTGTAGGGGTGAGACAGCAACAGATCATTGACAGAAACCCGACTCAGAAACCACGCTTATTCAGGGCCCTTGGCGAGTGTGAAGACAAGGAAAAAGCAATGCTTTTTTCTGGCCAGGCATGGTGGCTCATGCCTGTAATCCCAGCACTTTGGGAGGCTGAGGCCGGAGGATCACTTGAAGTCAGGAGTTCAAGACCAGCCTGACCAACATGGTGAAACCCCGTCTCTACCAAAAGAATACAGAAATTAGCCGGGCACGGTGATATACACCTGTAGTCCCAGCTACTCAGGAGGCTGAGGCATGAGAATCGCTTGAACCTAGGAGGTGGAGATTGCAGTGAGCTGACATCACACCACTGCACTCCAGTCTGGGTGGCAGAGTAAGACTATCTCAAAAACAAACAAACAAAAAACAATGCTTTTTTCCCACTGGAGGATCCCAGGAGAGGCATGGTCTCCCCTAAAGAGATGCTCAGCCTAACTGTGGGAGGCATGACCCCTGCTCTTAGGAAGCTCCTGGCCAGACAGAGGACATGGACACACACAAACACACACACACACACACACACACACACACACACACACACACACACACACCCCACCATGATTGCTATTGATAGGAGCTGGAACGAATTACAGGCAAGATATAAGCATTGAACAGGAGGCAGAACTAACCCCACTGCAGTAGGGGCATGGCCCAAAGTTGAAGATTAGCATGGAAGTTGCCCACCTCCCTGAGGCCTCCCTACCATCTAGTGCAGAGCTGTGCAAATAAAGGTCTGAACTGGCTTGCTGCTTGCTTGGCATCCTCACAGGATGCTGTGCTCCTTATAGGAGGCAATAGCTGTAAGGATCTCGCCTGCCTATTGCCTGAAGTCCTACTTTCTGGAAAAGAGAAAGGAGGGTGGGGAGTAGTTCAACATTTAGCTTTTACAACTTTATTTGACTTTGGTGATCAAGAGAGAGCTCAGATGTTTGCTTGGGGCTCTCATGTCCTTGCCCCTTAACACCCGTTATCACACTCAGCTTTGTTTCTTGGGCCACAAAGATTGCTGAGCGTGTGTGTGTTCATGGGCACTTTACAAGTATCTCTGCATGGCTTGCCATCCAAGTGTACGTTTGCAGATATCCATGTGGGTGTGATCACGTATGACAGTTCCTGTTTTTGCCTAAGTTGTCCCTGTGCATACATGAGTGTGCATAGTTGTGTGCACTCTGGATCCTTTTTTGCAAACACACTGAGTGTTCATGTACCAGGTTTTAATGTCCAGCAGCATGACGACATCCACACAGCAGGCTGGACATTGAACTGGGCCTCACCAATTCCCTGGCTTTACCCAGAGATGACACATGGACATGTGCCCTAATGTCCCAAACTTTCTTCCTCCCTTGTCAGTCTGCCATGAGTTCCTGAAAATTATTTTATGCTACGCCTAAGACTTTCCCAGAAGGGCTGAGAATGCCTGCTCTTTTGTGTTTCCACTGGGTGTCAGTTCACTTGTTCATTCATTCACTCCTGAAACAACCACTGAGCTTCTTCCAGGCCAGGTGCTGTGTTAAGAACCAGAGATCCAGAAATGAGTAAGACATAGCTCCTATGTTTATGAAATACATACTCTAGTCTGGGAGAAAAGCCTGGACACAACTAATCATGTTCAAAGACAGACTCTGATAAGCCATGGGGGGACATAGAGGATTCTAATGCCGCCTGAGGAACCTAGGAAGATTTCATTGAGTTAGTATTTGGCCCGGCCATGAAGGTTGGATAGAATTTTGACAAATAAATGAGCAGAACAGCATTCCAAGCAGAAGAATAGTATGATCAGAGATCTAGAAATGACAAAGCCATGGAGCTTCTACTTGTAGACTCTCCCTTACAACTCCAAGGGACACTTCAGGGTGTCCCCTGAGTTTGTGCAATACTGTGGTGCTGCCCTTCAGCTGCATTCTTATCAGTCTGCGCACACAGCCTTACTCATGTTGCATTCAACCAATTCCAAACAGGAGGAAATGAACTAAAGTGGGGTTTGAAGAACACAGGGTAGGGGGAGCAGCTGCACCTGCAGTGGGAGAGACCGAGGGCAGTCCCAGGGTAATCCAACCTGATCCATGAGGGCAGTTACAATCACAATGGGTTGTTGAGAATGATTTCACATATTTCATTTAACCATTTACCCAACAAACATTCATCTGATGCAATCTCTGGAGCTCTCAGGGAAAAGGGAAAAAAAGAAGAATCTCATATTTGTTCATGATGATTTGGTTTAGTGTTCCTTCAAGTATGTTCCTAGGAATAATAAATAATCCAGAGAGGTTCTGAGAGCAAAAAGAGTTAATGGGATCAAATACATTTAGGAAACGTGTCAACAAAGCAAACAGGTTTCGGTACTACCATACTTATCAGGGTCTTTAAAATCATCATATGCTCTGTGAATCTTCATGGGTGAGATGTGGCCAGCAATACTTCCCAAAGTTATTTGAACTGTAAATCACATACGTTTCATGGGACTGGTAGGGTTGATTAAAATGTTCCTGGGGAAACCTGAGATTGGGGAGAGGAGTTCTGAGGCGTTCTCTGTGATAATGGAAAACAAAGGAAAGAGGATTTGCAAACTCCTGGGCTGATAACATGGCAAGAAACATCATCTTTCTCCATCCAGGAAGACTTCCTGGAGGATGTGTAACCTCAGGAGCCACCTAATGGAAGAAACAGCGGACTGAAGGGACTGAAGCTTAATTTGTGTCACATGAAAGCAAACATGGACTTGGGTGAGAATAACCACTCCATAAAATGCTATGGCGTTAAGTATCTGTTGGAATGGGCTTGTTTTGCATGCTCTAAGGGAAGGATGAGGAGGAAGGAAGAGGCTTAGATCTTGCCTGCTCTCAAGTAGCACCCAGTCTGATTAAAAAAAAAAAAAAAAAAAAAAAGGCATAGCCCCTGCCCTCTGGGAGCTCCTAGCCCAATGGAGGGATATAGGAGAAATGGTTTCCAAGACCCTATGTGTCAGGCAACAAAAGACAGTGATACTTGAGAGATGGGAAACAAACAAGGCAAGCCTTACAATGCCCTATTTGCTGTCTTGGGAGAGAAATGTGCAGGGAAGTGATACCAAAGTGGAGCCCAGCAGATTTTGTAAGTGAGGAGGAGCTGGGAGTCTGGGGAGGTTGAGGCAGCTGCAGCACACAGAACAGAGTACCCAAGAGGAGAGAGTCACACAGAGGGAGAACCCCAGAAATCTGCAGAGCCTTCTCTGCAAGTATTGAGCAGAGAACTCACCAGCATATGTGCAAGGAAAGAACCATCCAAAAGGATAAAAGAGGAGTATCCAGAGCTCACACAGGGCTGGGACTACTTTCCAGCCCCAGCAGTCAGCCTGGAAAAATTCATCATCTACGGAGCATTGGGGAGAGTACTCAGGAGGATCTTGCTTCAGCAGTGGAAAAGAATTAGCTCTAGGCTAAATACTGCTTTCATCCCACCTAACAAATCTTGAAGACCTGAAATATAAAATTGTTTCAAGGCTGGGCAAGTAATCCCAGCACTTTGGGAGGCCGAGGCAGGCAGATCACGAGGTCATGAGATCGAGACCATCCTGGCTAACACAGTGAAACCCCGTCTCTACTAAAAATACAAAAAAATTAGCTGGGTGTGGTGGCGGGCACCTGTAGGCCCAGCTACTCGGGAGGCTGAGGCAGGAGAATGGTGTGAACCTGGGAGGCAGAGCTTACAGTGAGCCGAGATCGTGCCACTGCACTCCAGCCTGGGCGACAGAGCAAGACTCCATCTCAAAAAAAAACAAAAAACAAAAAATAAAAACAAAAAAACTGTTTCAAGTTGTTTAACTGCATCCCAGAACAAAATTCCAATTTTAAAATATTTATGGGAATACAAAAAATATCCAGGCCGGGTGTGGTGGCTCATGCTTGTAATCCCAGCACTTTGGGAGGCTGAGGCAGGCGGATCACTTGAAGTCAGGAGTTCGAGATTAGCCTGGCCAACATGGTGAAACCCCATCTCTACTAAAAATACAAAAATTAGCCTGGCATGGTGGCATGTGCCTGTGGTCCCAGCTACTTGGGAGGCTAAGGCACAAGAATTGTTTGAACCCAGGAGGTGGAGGTTGCATTGCGCTAAGATTGTGCCAATGTACTCCAGCCTGAGTGACAGAGTGAGATTCTGTTTAAAAAAAAAAAAAAAAAAATCCAGCATCCAAAAAGTAAAATTCACAATGTCCAGTATTCAATGAAAAACTTACCAAGCATGCAAAGAAACTGGAAAATACAACCCATAATGAGGAGGAAAATTAATCCTTGAAACAGACCCAGAACCTACAAGTAGGGTGACCAAACATCCTGGTCTGCTCAGGACTATCCCAATTTTAGCAGTGAAAGTTGTGCATCCCTGGAAACCCTTCAGTCCCAGGAAAACCGAGCTCACTGGTCACCTTACCTACAACTAGTATCAGACTTAATGGTGAAAGACTGAATGCCTTCCTCCTAAGATCAAGAGCCCATCAGAATGTCTGCTGTTGCCACTTCTATTAACATTTTACTAGAGACTTCAGCCAATGCATAAGTAAAGAAGGAAAAGAAACACAGATTAGAAAGAAAGAAGTTAAACTGTTTATTCTCAGATTATATGAAGAAAATCTGATTGACTCTACAAATAAGCTACTAGAGCTAATAAGTGAGTTTAGCAAGATTGCAAGATTCAGGTGGGTATACACAAATCAATTGTATTTGTATATGCTAACAATGAATTGAAATTAAAATAATGGTACTATATTAGTCCATTCTCACACTGCTGATAAAGACATACCTGAGACTGGGTAATTTATAAAGAAAAAGAGGTTTAATGGATTCACAGTTCCACATGGCTGAGGAGGCCTCACAATCATGGTGAAAGGTGAAAGGCATGTCTTACACGGCAGCAGGCAAGAAAAAGAACGAGAACCAAGCTAAAGGGATTTCCCCTTATAAAACCATCAGATCTCGTGAGACTTATTCACTGCCATGAGAACAGTATGGGGGAAACAGCCCCCAGGATTCAATTATCTCCCACTGGGTCCCTCCCACAACACATGGGAATTATGGGAGCTATAATTCAAGCTGAGATTTGGGTGGGGACACAGCCAAACCCCATCAGGTACCCTTTTTAAGCACATAAAAAATATGAAATAGGTTTGGAAGGCAGAGGTGGGAGGATTGCTTGAGGCCAGGAGTTCAAGGCTGAAGTGAGCTACGATTGCACCACCGCCCTCCAGCCTGAATGATAAGCTGGAGACCCTGTCTCTAAAATAAATTAATTAATTAAATAAATAAAAGTTTTTTTAAAAGGGATAAATCTGATAATAGATGTGAAAGACCTGTACACTGAAAACTATAAAATATTGCTGAGATAAATTTTAAAAGATCTGAATAAATGGAGAGACATACCTTGCTTACAGTTTACACTAAGTCAGTGTAATATTGACAGAAAAGACAAATGGAACAAAAAAAAAGAATCCAGAAATAGACCTGCACATAAATGTGTGTAGTGGATTGACTTATATCCCACCCAAAAAAATGTGTTCACTGGGACTTGTGAAAATGACCTTATTTGGAAAAAGGATCTTTGCAGATGTAATTAAGTTAAGGATCTCAAGATGAGATTATCTTGCATTTTGAATATGCCCTAAATCCAATGACAGGTATCCTTATAAGAAGAGGGCCACACTGAGAGCCATATGGCTAGATGGCCTTATAAAAATGGAGGCTACCACAAGCAAAGGAATGTCTGGAGCCACTAGAAACTGGAAGAGGCGAGGAAGGGTTCTCCCCTAGATCCTCCAGAGGGAGGGTGGCCCTGCGACACATCGATTTCAGATGTCTGGCCTCCAGAACTGAGAGAGAATAAATTTCTGTTGTTTTAAGCCATCAAATTTGTGGTAATTTGCTATGCAACACTAGGAAACAAATACAATACATAACTCATTTTGACAAACGTGCAAAGGCAATTCCATGAAGAAAAAAGTATTTTCAACAAACGATGATCAACAATTGGATATGCAAATGCAAATAAATAAGCTTTTATTCATACCTTTTACCATATACAGTAGGCACCCCCCTTATCTGAAGGGGATACATTCTGAAACCCCTAGTGGATGCCTGAATAGGGATAGTACAGGGCCCTATACTGTATAGACCATGTTTTTTCCTATGCATACATACTACATAGTGTGGATACACTGGACAAAGGGCTGATTCACAACTCTAGTGAGACGGAGCAGGACAGTGTGCACATTAAAACTTATGAATTGTTCATTTCTGGAATTTACCATTTAATACTTTCAGACCATGGGTAACTGAAACTGTGGAAAGTAAGACTTCAGATAAAGAGGGACTACTATACAAAAATTAACTCAAAATTGATCAATGTAAAACCAAAGCTACAAAATATCTGGAGGAACTCACAAGAAAAACTTTTGTGCCCTTCTGTTAAGCAAAGATTTCTTACACATGACACCAAAATATGATCCATACAATTTTACAATAGATAAATTAGACTTTTAAAAATAAATCTTCTGTTCTTCATAAGACACTGTTAAGAGAATGAAAAGACAAATCTCAGACTGCAAGTTTTATATCTAATAAGGAACTTGTATTTAGGTTATATTTTTTAAAGCTCTCAAGATTCAAAGATAAACAACCCAATTTTTAAAATAGGCAAAAGATTTAAATAGACTCTTCACCAGTAAAGATATGCAGATGACAAATAAGATGCTCAAAATTATTTGCTGTTAAGGAAATATAAATCAAAACCACAATGAGTTATTACTAAACACCTAGCAGAATGTCTAAAATTAAAGACTTTCAGTACCAAATACTAGCAAGGATATAGAGCAACCTGAACTCTCATGCACTGCTGGTGGGACTATAAAATGGTACAACCACTTTGGAAAAGGATGAGATAGTTTCTGAAATAAACATGCACCTATCATGTGATCCAACCTTTCTACTCCTAGGTATTTACCCAAGAGAAATAAAAGCATGTGTCCATACAAAGACTTGTACACAAATGTTCATAGCAGCTTTATCTGTGATGTCCCCTGTATTAGTCTGTTCTCACACTGCTATAAAGAACTGCCTGAGACTGGGTAATTGATAAAGGAAAGAGGTTTAATTGATTCACAGTTTCACATGGCTGAGGAGACCTCAGGAAACTTACAATCATGGTGGAAGGGGCAGCAAACACATCTTTCTTCACATGACGGCAGGAAGGAGAAGTGTAGAGCAAAGAGGGGAAAAGCCCCTTATAAAATTATCAGATCTCGTGAGAACTCACTCATTATCATGAGAACAGCATGGGAGAACTGCCCCCATGATCTAGTCACCTCCCATGAGGTCCTTCCCCCAACATGTGGAGATTACAATTTGGATTACAATTCAAGATGAGATTTGGGTGGGGACACAGAGCCAGACCATATCATCCCCACACTGGAAACAACCCAAATGTCCATCAGCAGTGAAATGTATAAACAAATTATGGTATATTAATACAAAGGAATACTACTTGGCTATTAAAGGAATGAACCATTGATATGTGCAACAACAGATGGATATCAAAATAATTATGCTGAGTGAAAAAACCTGGACTGAAAAAAGTACATAATGTGCTGTTCCATATATATAAGATTCTATAAAAGAATATCAGTCTATAATTTAAAAGCAGATCAGTGATTACTTGAGAGTGGGGGGGAAGGGGCTGGGGTACTGAGGGGCAGGAAAGGATTACAAGAGGCTGGAGGGAACATTCAGGGAAGATGTATATGTTCACTATCTGGTAGTGATGGTTTCACAGGTATATACATATGTCAAAACTTATCAAAGTGTATACTTCGAATATGTCCAGTTTATTGTACGTCAATTATAATCTCAGTAAAGCTATAAACTAAAAGATAAAAGCTGATGTTGGCCAGGTGCAGTGGCTCAGGCCTGTAATCCCAGCACTTTGGGAGGCCAAGGGGGGCGGATCATCTGAGGTCAGGAGTTCAAGACCAGCCTGGCCAACATGATGAAACCCCGTCTCTACTATAAAATACAAAAATTAGCTGGGCATGGTGGTGCATGCCTGTAACCCCAGCTACTCAGGAGGCTGAGGCAGAAGAATCACTTGAACCCGGGAGGCAGAGGTTGCAGTGAGCTGTGATTGCACCACTGCACTCCAGCCTGGGCAACAGAGCAAGACTCCAGCTCAAAAAAAGAAAAAAAAGAAAAGCCAGTGTCTCCAGGTTCCCAGCATGAGTGCTGTGGCCACCACATTAGGATGGGGGCAGAGGGAGGGGATGAGGCACTGAGGGGCTTGGGAGGTCTCTCTCCCAGTGGCAGTGTGCCAGCCCACTCGCTTGCACATATACATCTGCAGGACTGGACTGCAGGCAGCGCCTCCCACCCCTCACCCCTCTCAGCCTCAGGCTCTGTCAATCCCTTCACCTCAAGAGAATGTCCCAGGCTTGCCTGAGGGTTGGCTGGAGGAGGAAATTAGGGGGAAATGAGGTCATTATTGTCCTCAGAGTAAGATCCCAAGAGAGTTATTGCAAATGTCAGAAAACATTTGGTTTAACAGATGCTGTAAAGCCCCTTGGAGTAATCTCCTTTCTTTGCTTCATTTACTTTTGCTGCTTATCTACAGCTGGATCTTTCCTTAGAATGAGGACCCTGCTCAGTTGCCCCCTCCCAGTCATGTGGTGAGTACTGGGAGGAGGGGAGAGTCCAGGCCTCTGGCTGGTATGGTGGGATTCCACGGAATTGGGGTCTACATCTCCCAGATTTTAAAGGTATGATTTTTTTTCCTTTTTGTTAGTTTTTGATTTTTTGTTGCTTTTTTTTGAGACAGGGTCTTGCTCTGTCACCCAGGCTAGGAGTGCAATGGCACAATCATTGCTCACTGCAGCCTCGAACTCCTGGGCTCAAGTGATCCTTTTACCTCAGCCTCCAGAGCAGCTGAGACTACAGGTGCACCACCACCATACCTGGCTATTTTATTCCTTTTAATAAAATTTTTTATTAAATGTAATTACATTTTATAGTTTCATGAGACTCATGAGACTTTTTATGAATATATATTTTTAAATGGTTTGCACAACAATGTGAATGCACTTAATACTACTGGACTGTACACTTAAAAATGGTTAAGATAGGCCAGGCGCGGTGGCTCACACCTGTAATCCCAGCACTTTGGGAGGCCAAGGCGGGTGGATCATCTGAGGTCGGGAGTTCGAGACCAGCCTGACCAAAATGGAGAAACCCCGTCTCTACCAAAAATGCAAAATTAGCCGGGCGTGGTGGCACATGCCTGTAATCTCAGCTACCCAGGAGGCTGAGGCAGGAGAATCACTTGAACCTGGTAGGCGGAGGTTGCAGTGAGCCAACATCGTGCCATTGCACTCCAGCCTGGGCAACAAGAGTGAAACTCTGTCTCAAAAAATAAATAAATAAATAAAATAAAGATAGTAAATGTTATGTGTATTTTACCAAAATTAACTATTAAAATTTTTTTAAAGAATGAATTAAGAAAAAATATCGGTGAATATCTGCTTAACTAGAAGGTGAGATAATTCGCAACCATATTCCTAGAAACCCCTGCTGAAGGTCTGGGAGGCAGTTTATTATGTTAAGAAATTTAGAAATCACCGAATTACCAGGCTCCAGTGCACATGCCTGTAATCCCAGCACTTTGGGAGGCCAAGGTGGGCAGATTACCTGAGGTCAGGAGTTTGAGACCAGCCTGGACAACATTGTGAAACCCCATCTCTACCAAAAATGCAAAAACAAACAAACAAACAAACAAAAAACCGGTGTGGTGGTGTGCACCTGTCGTCCTAGCTACCAGGGAGGCTGAGGTGGGAGGATTGCTTGAGCCCAGGAGGTAGAGGTTGCAGTGAGCCAATATTCCACTACTGTACTCCAGCCTGGGTGACAGAGTATGACCCTGTCTCAAAAAAAAAGAAAAAAGAAAGAAATTTAGAAATATTTTCTGCACTCAACCTAGTGTGTGTCTAGTACGTGTCAAAAATGAGGTCAGCCTCACTGTTGCCTGGTTAAAGACTCAGGAACGTCTGCCTTCTCTTTATAAATGATCACAAATTCAAAATTATTAGAGTCTACATAATTAGGAAAACTCAGCAGTTCTCCTGGGATCCAGATGTTCAAATAAACATTGATGAACTCTTGTCTCTTGCAGGGTAGATGCCCAAGGACTCGGAATGGACTTCCTTCTTACAACTCCACCCCATCTGCTTCCTCAGAAAAGTTCATCGTCTAATTACACCTGCTTCCTGCCCTTCTCAACATGAAACATAATCACCAACACAAGGGCAATTAGATGGCCAGGCACCAAGGAAAATGATTCCCTGGGCCAATCCTCACCACAACCCTAGGAGGTAGATATTCTTATTATTCTCATTTTACAGATGACGAAATAGAGGCAAAAAGAAATGAGGGGGCCGGGCGCACTGGCTCATGCCTGTAATCCCAGCACTTTGGGAGGATGAGGTGGGTGGATCACTTGAAGCCAGGAGTTCACCAACCTGGACAACATGGTGAAACCTCATCTCTGCTAAAAATACAAAAATTAGCCAGACGTGGTGGTACACACCTGTAGTCCTAGCTACTCGGGAGGCTGAGGTAAGAGGATCACTTGAGCCTGGGAGGTAGAGGTTGCAGTGAGCTGTGACCACACCACTGCACTCCAGCCTGGGTGACAGAGCAAGACCCTGTCTCAAAAAAAAAAAAAAAAAAAAGAGATGAGGTACAGAGTTTCAGGGTTTTTAAAATGTTTTAATTGTGGAAAAATGCACAGTATAAAATTTACCACCTTACACTTTTTTTTTTGAAATGGAGTCTTGCTCTGTTGCCCAGGCTAGAGTGCAGTGGCACGATCTCGGCTCACTGCAACCTCCACCTCCCAGGTTCAAGCAATTCTCCTGCCTCAGCCTCCTGAGTAGCTGGGATTACAGGCACACGCCACAATGCCCGGCTGATGTTTTTATATTTTTAGTAGAGACGGGGATTCACCATGTTGGCCAGGCTGGTCTTGAACTCCTGACTTCAGATGATCCGCCCTCTTCGGCCTCCCAAAGTGCTGGGATTACAGGCATAAGCCACCGCGTCTGGCACCACCTTATACATTTTTAAGTGTATAGCTCATTAGAGTTAAGTACATTCACATTGTTGTGTAATCAACCTCCAGAGCTCTGTATCTTCCAAAACCGAAGCTCTGTGCCGGTTTAACAACTCCCTGCTCTTGTCTCTCCCAGGCCCTGGCATCCTTGCTACTGTCTGCCTCTGTGAACATGACTACTCTAGGTACCTCATGTAAGTGGAATCACACAATATTTGTCTTTTTATGACCGACTCACACGTCCTCAAGGTTCATCCGTGTTGGAGACTGTGTCAGAATTTCCTAGAGTTAGAGTTTTGCAAGATGGAAGGCGTTCTGAAGATGGATGGTAGTAATTTGAACAACATTGTAAATGTACTTAATGCCACTGAACGGTACACTTAAAGATGGCTAAAATGGTACATTTTATGTTGTGTGTATTTTAATAAAATTTAAAAACAATAGCAAGCAACAAAAAACAGTCAGGTGATTTGACCAAGGGCACACAGTTAAGTGGCAGATTTAAGCCCAAGTAGTGGGCTCCTGCCTGGAGGCTTTTGTGCGCGGTGCCATAGGCTGCCTCCCGGGACAGAAGTCACATGGACCCAGAGCCTGGAGCCCCATCACACAGGTGTCTGCCTGGCATAGAGTCAGGTTTAGGGGTTTATTACCAACAGGGATTGGCAGCCTACACCGGGCTCTCAGTGGGAGAGAGCGTCAGATCCAACAGGATGCTGGGGAGCTTGAGTCAGACACAAGGGGCGAGGGGGAGGCCTGAGGGCCACTGAGGGGCCTGAGGCTGCGGTGAGGTGGGGAGAGGAGGGTTTCAGAAGCACGTGTGAGGGTGGGTGCACCAGGAGCTTTGTGGGGCCTATGCATGAGGGGCCTGGGTGGGGGCCATGAGATGGGGGTTCCCTCTTCCTTTACCTCTGTGAGAACTCTCAGAGGGGCAAAGCAATAGCAGGAGAGAACTGTCTCTTCCCAAGCGGCATCTGACCCTCCTTCTGTGGATGGGGAATAGGGGAAGCAGGTGGCAGCAACAGGGAGAAGGAAGAGGAATAAGGTAAAAGGATGTTTCTGGAAGCTAAGTGAGCACAGCGGTCAACACACCACAGGCTCCCCCCACCTTCTCATATGTCTTAGACATAACTGTGCCCCATCATACTAGGGGATAATTTTCTCCCCCAGAATCACACTGTATCTGCTTTTGAGATAAGAGTAGACTTACTTTAAAAAGAAAAAAAAGAGGGCCAGGTATGGTGGCTCATGCCTGGGCTGGGATTACCAGCACTTTGGGAGGCTGAGGCGGGTGGATCCCCTGAGGTCAGGAGTTCAAGACCAGCCTGGCCAAAATGGTGAAACCCCGTCTCTACTAAAAATACAAAAATTAGCTGGGCATGGTGGCAGATGCCTGTAATTTCAGCTACTCGGGAGGCTGATGCAGGAGAACTTGAACCTGGGAGGCGAGGTTGCAGTGAGCCGAGATTGCGCCATTGCACTCCAGCCTGGGGGACAAGAATGAGACTTTGTCTCAAAAAAGAAAAAGAAAAAAAAGTCTGTCTTTTTTTATAAATGAGTTTAGGTGGCTTTCAAGAATCCAAGTAACAAAAGAAACATAAATAATAAAACAGAAATCAGCATGACCAGAGAAAATTGATATCTGAATGTGAGGTCAAAGGGGATAGATAACTCTTTTTCCCTCTGGTTTGACCCTGGCCTGGCATATCTTTTGCTGGGGTATTAGCTCTTTCACCCCATTTTGTGAGCCCCAATGGGGAAGCCAGGGGAGCACATGGGGAATGTACTGGAGCCTTTGCTGGTTGTTGGTGCAGCGGTGGAGAGGGGGTGGGGTGGGGGAAGGGATCAGAGCCCCTGCAGAGGGAAACCTAAGTCAAGAGCAAGTTGTACACACAGGCCCAGGGTCCATCAGCCTCAAGTAAGGCCATTGCATCCCAACCTGCCACGACCTCATCCCAGCAGTCAAGGGCCTTGCTGTGGTTTGCACGTGTCCCCTAGAAAATGAAAGCACATGTTGGAAAGTTAATCTCCAATGCAACAGTGTTGGGAGGTGGGGCCTAATGGCAGGTGTTTAGGTCATGAGGGCTCCACCCTCATGAATGGATTTATGCCAATTAGAAAAGAGCTTGAGGCTGTGAGTTTGATGTCCTGCTCTCTCTCCCACAAGTGCGCTGTTGCCCTTCCACTTTCCACCATGGGATGATTCAGCAAGGAGGCCCTCGCCAGATACAGGCCCCTTGACCTTGTGTTAGAGGAAAGGGGTCCCAATCCAGATCCCAGGAGAGTGTTCTTGGATCTCGAGCAAGAAAGAATTCAGGGTGAGTCCGCAGTACAAAGTGAAACCAAGTCTATTAAGAAAGTACAGGAATAAAAGAATGGCTACTCCATAGACAGAGCAGCCCTGAGGGCTGCTTGTTGCACATTTTTATGGTTATTTCTTGATGATATGCTAAACAAGAGGTGGATTATTCATGCTTCCCCTTTTTAGACCACATAGGGTAACTTCCTGATGTTGACATGGCATTTGTAAACACCAGTCGTGGCACTGGTGGGAGTGTAGCAGTGAGGACAACCAAAGGTCACTCTCGTCACCATCTTGGTTTTGGTAGGTTTTGGCCAGCTCTTCTACTGCAACCTGTCTTATCAGCAAGGTCTTTATAACCTATACCTTATGCTGACCTTCTATCTCATCCTGTGACTTAGAATGCCTTAACTGTGTGGGAAGGCAGCCCAGAAGGTTTCAGCCTCATTTTACCCAGCTCCTATTTAAGATGGAGTTGCTCTGGTTCACATGCCCCTGACATTGACCCCCTCCCTTTTATAAGAGATCCCTTAATCCTAAGGGTTGCAGAGGGACAAAGATCCATCTTCTGTCACTTCTTCAGGCTGAATAGCGGTGATGAATAGGTTAACTCTCCTAGTAAGCAATTTTGCTTTTAATTGTGTACTAGGTGTGGAGTCTAGCCTAGGACACACCAGGCAGAAGTGCAACTAAGGGCTGAGGCTCTAGCACAGCTAGGAGAGTTAACCTATTCAAGCTAACTCCACATGTCCCCAGGCCTTACCTTACTGAAGCAGGAAAGTTGTACAGTAAGAGTCATGGTAGCATTTTATGAAGCATTTAGGAGGCCAAACAACCTTTGAATTGTACAACATTTCTTATATAAATTCCCTTCCACAAATCCTTTCACGACTTACACAGACCATCTGAGACATTCTCAGACTTTCTGACTTGCCCTCCTTTTAAACAACCATTCATTTTACTCTAGGACAAGAATTTACCATACAAGATCCTTTCTTATATAAAATCTCTTTCTTTATAATCTTCTTTGTATAGTTAGGGGCCATGGCTAATTCCACATGTCCCAGGCCTTATCTAGAATCCAATGGCTTTCAGGTAGGTAAATTGAACAATTTTTAAAAGTTAAAGAAGCAGTTTAGGCCGGGCTTGGTAGCTCACGCCTGTAATCCCAGCACTTTGGGAGGCTGAGGCGAGTGGATCACGAGGTCAAGAGATCAAGACCATCCTGGCCAACATGGTGAAACCCTGTCTCTACTAAAAATACAAAAATTAGCTGGGTATGGTGGCGCATGCCTATAGTCCCAGCTACTCAGGAAGTTGAGGCAGGAGAATCTCTTGAACCCAGGAGGTGGAGGTTGCAGTAAGCCAAGATCATGCTACTGCACTCCAGCCTAGCGACAGAGCAAGACTCCATCTAAAAAAAAAAAAAAGAAGAAGAAGGAGTTTATGACCTTAAAGCATTTAACAACTTAATATCTAACCTGCATAATTTAGACTAAATGTTTTTATCAATAATTTGTTGTTGTTGTTGTTGTTGAGATGGAGTCTTGCTCTATCACCCAGGCTGGAGTGCGGTGGTGCATTCTTGGCTCACTGCAACCTCCGCCTCCTGGGCTCAAGTGATTCTCATGCCTCAGCCTCCCGAGTAGCTGGGATTACAGGTGTGCGCCACCACACCTGGCTAATTTTTGTATTTTTAGTAGAGACGGGGTTTTGCCATGTTGGCCAGGCTGGTCTCGAACTCCTGATCTCAAGTGATCTGCCCACCTTGGCCTCCCAAAGTGCTGGGATTACAGGCACGAGGCACCATGCCTTGCTTATCAATAATTTTTAAAGCTGTTTTTATTTCCCAAAGATTACTAAATTTTTATTTACAGTTTTTATTTTGCTTTCAAAATATTTAAGTGCTTATTTTTGTTTAAGCCAATTAAGTAGAGCTCTTTTATATAAGCATTACACACAACACATATATAGCTACACAGAAAGGCAGAAGAAGATTACTACGGTAGTTGTAAGATTTTTCATTTGCTAGTTTTTGTTTCTTAATTGGATTACTGGCTTTATGGTGGAGCCGTTGGAAAAACGGGGCCAGGAAAGGGATCTCTGATGCTTCCTGCTTTTCCCAAGGGGTCCAGGCTGTTAGAGCTTGAATATTCGCTTTTAATTAAACTGATTTTAACCATAGCATTCTTTAATAAAGTACTTTTAGAATTTCTTATGCCAAATGGCTATTTCTGGCTTTTGAATTTTACCAAAGGTAACCTCCCAGGTGCTTAGAGAAAGGAAAATTTAGGATAGTCTGTGGAGGAGAAGAGAACAGACAAGGTCACGAAGATATTAAACCAGAAACAACTTACTTTCTAGGTTGGGAATTGAACCCAGATCACCACCGGAAAGGGCAAAACCTTCACTGCTGAGCTAGAGCACAGGGCCGTGTCCAGGTGCTTTCCCAGAAGGAGTCTAGAGTAGTTAATTTTGAGTTTGCAAAGGCTTTTAACTATCTCATATGATATTTAGAGCTAACTATGATACGAACCCTAAAATTCCTGTTCCCTGGAAGGCGGAGACCAAGAGAAAGTATGGCCACATGGTTAAAATGTCAAGCTCCCAAGGACATAAAACAAGGTGGAGACTTCATCCAACTTTTTTGGTTGTTTCAGGGACCTGCAGCCAAGTTTGTTACTGACCAGCTTGCAGGTCATCTTGAAAAGTGGGCTTACAGGTGTTCTAAGCCCGTGTTTTATCCTGGAGTACCCTTCAACACAGAAAAACGAATTCATAGCGCAAAATACACCAACTTAAGACTAGCCTTAGAATTCTTTTTCGCATTAATCAAAACTTTACAGAGGAGATAAACACTGATTTATTTCATTTTTTTTTAACCATTCATTCAACTGTTTGCACAGAGAGAGAGAAGCCAGAAATCTGACTGGTAAGAAATTCTTACCCTTTTGTCAGCATGCCAGGCTTCTGCGTTCCCTTTCTCTGAGTAGCCCTAGTGATCCAGCTTGAGGCACCATCACCCTGAGGGCCAAGTTGCATCATAAAGGAAAATTATTTTTTTTCATTCTGGCCATCGCAAAATACGTGTGATAAAACATAGACATTATCCACTCTGCGTAGCACCCAATATCAAACTGGCAAGGGCTAAATTTGCCCCCAGATAGGCCCCGTCATCTTTAATCCAGCCTCTGGCTTGGAGTTTCAACACGTGGTCTCTGGGCAAGATGGTTGCACTGAGTAACAGGAAAGATAGGAAAGGAAAAGTAGAGAAGGAAAGTATTGGCTGTGGCAGGGTGGGGAAGGTGAAGAGCTTAGGAAGGCCAGAGAAAGACCCACTCATTGCAGCCGACAATGAAAAGTTCAGGTGGCCGCTTGTCGGTAGCAAAGGGATCTTTCCCAGCAATCCCATCAGCTCTCAAGTTTCCCCGTTTAGGGAGGAAAAAGCTGCCAAAGTCCCACGATCCTGTACCTGCCTACCCCCGTCATCCACGGCTATCAGCAAAGAGTGCAAGGCAGATTAATTAGCAGTAATCTGTTTTTAGCCGAGAGGAACTTTACTTAGAGGGGCCTCTAACCCCGTAAACCTTAAAAGGGACTCTAACCCTCCTAAGTTGGGCCTCTAACCCGAGGTTGGTAAAGTGTCCTTGCCTTTTATTAAGAGGGGCCTCTAACCCACTCTGTCTTAGGAGAGACTCTAACCCCCCTAAGTTGGGCCTCTAACCCAATCCCATTCTTTACCCAGGTACCCCACCACTTACCCGAAGTCCTCCAATCAGTGCAACAGTCTATTTCCTTTGGGTCGGGGGTCTCCTCAGTATTGTCCCCTTTGTGGTCCAAGAGAAAGATGTTATTGGACCCCACCACTTACCCCAAGTCAGCCTTTGGGTCGGGGGTTTCTGCTGTATAGTCGCTTCTGTGGTCACCAGAAACATCTTACCAGAAGGGGGTATCGATCCAGACCCCAAGAGAGGGTTCTTGGATTTCACGCAAGAAAGAATTCAGGGCGAGTCCGCAGTGCAAAGTGAAAGCAAGTTTATTAAGAAAGTAAAGGAATAAAAGAATGGTTACTCCATAGACAGAGCAGCCCTGAGGGGTGCTGGTTGCCCATTTTTATGGTTATTTCTTGATGATATGCTAAACAAGGGGTGGATTATTCATGCCTCCCCTTTTTAGACCATATAGGGTAACTTCCTGATGTTGCCATGGCATTTGTAAACTGTCATGGTGCTGGTAGGAGTGCAGCAGTGAGGACGACCAGAGGTCACTCCCGTTGCCATTTTGGTTTTGGCAGGTTTTGGCTGGCTCTTGTACTGCAACCTGTTTTATCAGCAAGGTCTTTATAACCTGCATTTGTACTGACCTCCTATCTCATCCTGTGACTTAGAATGCCTTAACCATCTGAGAATGCAGCCCAGTAGATGTCAGCCTCATTTTACCCAGCTCCTATTCAAGATGGAGTTGTTCTGGTTCACACGCCTCTGACTTCCCAGCCTGCAGAACCGTAAGACCTCTGTTCTTTATAAAGTACCCAGTCTCAGGTATTCTGTTATAGCAGCACAACACAGACTAAGACGTCTCCAAACTGGTCTGTGTCTCCTCCTTTGGGACAGGATGAACCTGAGAACCCGATATGTTGTCCCAACAACTTGACAACCTCCCAGGGAATTCTTAGAAGGTGCTGAGGAAAACCCATTTCTGTGTCCTCTGACAAGGCTGTGCCTGGGCCCCAAGTGGGGGAAGCAGGTGTGTCCGTGAGTCAGTTGCACCATGCAACCAGCCCTGGAAGTCTTTTTTTTTTTTTTTTTTGAGACAGTCTCTCTCTATCACACAGGCTGGAGTGCAGTGGCGTGATCTCAGCTCACTACAACCTCCACCTCCCAGGTTCAAGCAATTCTCCTGCCTCAGCCTTCTGAGTAGCTGGGATCACAGATGTGCACCACAATGCCCAGCTAATTTTTGTATTTTTAGCAGAGACAGGGTTTCGCCATGTTGCCCAGGCTGGTCTCAAACTTCTGTCCTCATGTGACCCACCTGCCTCAGCCTCCCAAAGTTCTGGGATTGCAGGCATGAGCCACTGAGCCCTGTAGGCCCTGGAAGTCTTATAGACACAGGAGGATTCCTCCAGTATCACTCAGTTAAAACTTCAGTACAGAGGAGTGGGGTGGACAGAATGTGCATGTTCTGGAAATTAGCTCAGTGCATTTGCAAGCCTCCCTTGGCCTTTCTGACCTGCCTGTGCAGCTGTCCTCTGCAGTGGCACAGCTGAGAGCTTTATTACAGCTTAGAGCAACCTCCTATTTGGGTAAACAAATAGGGATGCTTAAAGGGACAAACGAATCAAGAAGTCAAAGAGGCAAGACACACTCGGCTTTTCTGGCACATGAATCCCTGGAGTGCTGAGGCTCTTCCATGGAAAACTCTATGGCACTCTGCCCTTCACACATACCTATTTAGCACGTCACTCTCCTGTGCCCTCTTCTCCCCACAAAGCCAACACCCTTGTTTAGATCATGCATGAGGCACTGATTTTGAACTGTCTGGTGTTGTGATGACAGTTTGCAAATGTAGCCTGATCGTAGGTTGCAGTTCCTGGAGCAAGTTGAGGCCCAGATTCCTGACAACTCTTGTCCTATAAGCCCTCGGGCTAAGGAGGTGCTGAGCCAGGAAGCATCTCCGGCCTCACCAGTTCTGCTTGGTGGGCAGAGAGCACAGGGCCAGGCAGGCAGCCAGCTCAAGAAAGGGCTATGGTTATACTGAGGTTTGCTTGATAACCTCCTAATGCTCCAATGTTTAGGCTAAGTAGGCCTGTTCTCCATAAGCACACAGGAGAATTATCATTCTAATAAAATAATAACTAGCTAATGTTTATGGAACTTGTACTAGGTCCCAGGCACTTGACATGCATTACCTAATGTAATCTTTGCAATTTTAGAAGTCAGTACTAGAAGTTAGGTGCTATTTTTATGTCCTTATTAAAGATAAGAGAAATGGACCCGGAACAGTGGCTCATGCCTGTAATCCCAGCACTTTGGGAGGTCCAGGTGGGTGGATCATTTGAGGTCAAGAGTTCGAGACCAACTTGGCCAACAAGGTGAAACTCTGTCTCTACTAAAAAGACAAAAATCAGCTGGGTGTGGTAGCGCGCCTGTGATCCCAGCTACTTGGGAGGCTGAAGCAGGAGAATTGCTTGAGTCCAGGAGGCAGAGGTTGCAGTGAGTTGAGATCATGCAACTACACTCCAGCCTGGGTGACTGGGCAACACAGCGAGACGCCGTCTCAAAAAAAAAAAAAAGATAAGAGAACTAAGCCTCAGTAAGTGGAAGGCCAGTTCTTAAACTGGAGTCTGCTTATCCCCAGAGCCATGTTTGTACCCTGTCCCAGGCTTCTCAACTTCCAGGAGCATCAGCATCCTGCATCAGTGGCCCCCAGAGGGCATGGTGAAGCCACCTGCTGAGCCCTCCCAGTTCCTGAATCATTAGGTCTGCATGGGGCCAGATTCGCCTTTCTTAAAAGCTCAGGCAGTACTGCTGGTCTGGCACCCACCCTTTGAGAGCACTGTGCTGCACTACACTTGGGGTCCCAAGCTTCCTGCAGAGACCACCTGGGGCTTTTACAACCCTCTAGTGTTATCACTGTTTGGTCTTTATCCAGGAAATCCACTCCCTAAAGGGTGTCATGCATCCCTGCCACTTCAGCCAGAGCATCCCTCAGTCATCTGCCAAAAACACTGCTGCAGTGGGGACAGGCACAAACTAATGCTCACATCTGTGCTCAAGATGCATGTTTTGCAACCGGCAGAACACTTAACAGCACAATGAGGCTCTTCTACACCTGAGTGGTCTTTGTCCTCACATGGAAGCACAGGCTTCACAAACAGGCCAGAGGCAAAGTCAGGGTTAGCTGGGCGATGAAGACAGCCAGCTAATTGCTCTTGCATCCACTTGCTGTCATGGGCAGCACTTAACCACCATTGTCATTTTACGCTGATGTCAGTATTGTTTAATCAGTGACCTTTCCTCCCACTGTAATGAATATTCCGCAAGGACATGGCTCTTTTCTGTCTTGTTCGCGCTGTGTGCCCAGCAACTGGACCAGCAGCTGGCATACAGGTGTGGGCAAGAGAATGTGTTGGGTGAACGAAAAAACAAATGCACAGGTGGACAAAGAAATATGAGTAAGTGAATAAACAAGTGCAGAGCCAGTCACGGGCAGATCGTGGAGTAGGGACACATGTGACTTGCTGGGAGCAGCTGCAAAATTTGGCTGGATAGAGAAACCACAAGGGGAAGCTGGGAAACTCAGCTTCCCCTCCTTCCTTCTGAAAGAGGCCCCCTTTTCACAGGTGTGAAAGGTGTAACGCTCTGCGTCCTGCCCACACAGTAATCTGGACAGAGATGCATTCGTTTGCTTGGATTGCAGTAACATAGTAGCACAGAATGGAATGGGAGGTTTACATAACAGACCTTTAGCGTTTCACAGTCCAAGAGGCTGGAAGTCCAAGATCAAGGTGTCAGCAGCGTGGGTTCCCTCTGCGGGCTGTGAGGGAGAAATCTGCTCCAGTCCTCTCCCCTAGCTTTTGGTGGTTTGCAGGCAAATCTTTGGAGTTCCTTGGCTTGGAGACGAATCATCTCAATCTGTCTTCATCTTTACATGGGGTTGTGTGTGTGTGTGTGTGTGTCTGTAGCCAAATTTCTCCTTTTCATAAGGACACCAGTCATATTGGATTAGGGGCCTATCCTATTCCAATATGATCTCATCTTAACTAAATACATCTGCAAAGACCCTATTTCCAAATAAAAGTCATATTGAGAAGTACTGAGGGCTAGGATTCCAACATATCTTTTCTGAGGGACAAAATTCAACCCATAACAGAGGTATAGTTAGTAGTTGTGCTTCTAGGCAAAATTTACAAACATAGGTCTTTTCCCTTAGTTTCTGGAGGCCTTCTGTTGAATGGCTTTTCGTCTGTTAGGAAGCTGTGTTGGAAGCAGTGGGAAGCTGTGACCTGTGAGGCCTGCTGAGAAGGTCGTGGGAGGCTCCTGTTCTCCATAGCTCTTTACCTTTAGGCTGTGTGAGCAGGGACTATGTGTCCCAGGCAGCGCATTTACTGTGGGAAATTTTATTTTTTTTTTGAGATGGGGTCTCGCTCTGTCACCCAGGCTGGAGTGCAGTGGCGCACACCCAGGAATTTTTATGCAGCTGCAGCTGTTCCCTGGACAGGTAGATAAGGACTGAGGGCCTGAGGGGCCAGGTAAAGCCCCCTGGCTCAGGTGCTGCAGGTCCTGGACACAGCTGTCCTCCGAGGAGGCTGCCTCAGAGAGCCTTGCTTGCTGCACTCGTGGCGAGAGCAAAAGTGGCCAGAGGAATGGCTTCTCCTCCAATTTTGGACTTCCCTTTCTGGGCCTGTCCCATCGTGGGTACAAATTATAACCCCCTCCCCCCTACCCCGCCACTACCTCTTTCATTTGGCACAGAAAGAAAGGAAGGTCATTTCTGGGAAATGGACCCAGCTGGGCCAGGTTGAGCTGCTGCTGTCTGGTACCTATCTTTCCTCATGCCCTAGGGGCCCTATTTCAGTCCCTTTCACCACCCCCCATCTCTTCCTTCCAAGACAATCACAGTGGGCAGTGTTTATACTTGCACAGGATTGCGGGGAGAAGAGGACACCTCTAATTTGCTCCTCTATTCTAATTTTCTTTCTCATTCAATTAGGCTAAAAAAAACCCTCACTTTTAACACTGTTAACAACAGCTCCTAATGAAAGCAGCAGCCAATAATTACATAAATCATTTATTGGAGAGCTATTTTAGATTCCTCATTTAATGAATGTTGCAGAATTTAGCTGGTTTCAGATTCATCAGAATAGGAGCTTGGCAAAGTCATGAAGATAGAGACCCCCTCCCCGCACACTCTGTTTCGCTGGTGACTGTCCGCCTGTGACCCTCTGCTCACCTCACTCTACCCTGCAGGCTCCCCTCCACCTGCCCCTCCAGACACCTCCTCCTCACTCACCTCTGTGGCTTCCACTGTCATTACCTGTTGGTGACCCCAGATCTCTAATGTCTTCTTCCCAGATCATCTATCCATTGTCTACAGGAGTTTCCAGTCAGAAGGCTGCAGGAATGACATCCTCCTCCCCAGACCTGCTCCTCCCTCCTCCTTATCGCAAGTTACATTATTCACTCGCCTGGTTGCTTGTCCAGACAACTGAAGTTCAGAGAGGTTAAAACACTTGCCCAGAGGCACACAACTAGTGAGTTATGGTAAAGCAGAGATTTGGACCCAAGTCTGACTGTTTGCAAAGCCCATACTAGTGCCAGCATGCTGTGCCGCCTTACTGATGAGGTGAGCACGTCAGCTCCTTTCCACACCTCATGCTATTCCAAGCGCTGGCTCTATACAAGGTAATCGAACTGACAAACCAAAACTACCCATTTGTGATGTGCCAAGCTGTGTTCCAGGTGTTGGGATCCCAAGTTGTCTAAGACACAGTCTTGCTCTCTAAGACTCAGAGAGAAAAAAAAAAATTGATCATGGCCATTTAGTGTCTTCCGTGCTTTGACAGAGGTAAGTACATGTGCTTGTGCTCAGGGAACACACGTAAGAGCACCACCTACCTCGCACCTTGGGGATCAGGGAAGGATCCCCAGGAGGTGAGCCGTGAGTTGGGTTTTGAAGGTCAAGTAGGAGTTAGCCAGAAAACAAGGTCTTGGGTAGATGAGAAAAACAGTTTCTTTACACCCACACAACATTTCTGACACCAGAGGTCTGGGTTATTTCCCCCAGTGACCAATTCTCCAACACCAACTGGGTGTCCTACAATTTAATTCTGACACTATCAAGCTGCAGCTCCTGTCAGATCCCACACTTTCAGGGCTCAGTCCCACCAGACTGCCCCCATTGCAGATGCCAATGGCAAGTCTGGGTCTCAGGTATTTCTGACCAAACAGCTATAAGTTAGCGGTTCCAATGGCCCCCTCCCTTGGGCTCAATAATTTGCTAGAATGGCCCACAGATTCAATGGCCCACAGATCTCAGAGAAACACTACATTTACCAGCTTATTATAAAGGACACAACTCAGGAACAGTTAGATGGGAGATGGATAGGGCGAGGTAGGGGTGGGGCAGGGGGTAGGGCTTCCACGTCCTCTCTGGGCACCCACCCTCCAGCACCTCCATGTGTTCTGTAGTCTAGAAGCTCATCAGATCTCACTGTTCAAGAGTTTTCACAGACCTCAAAATCCAGCACCCAACTCCCATTCCCAGAGGCTGAAGGGTGGGTGGGGCAGGTGAGGGTGCAGTTTGAAATAATATATATTGATGATGCTCCAGCAGTTTTAAGCAAAATCTTGAGCCATTTATGTCCAGAATTTTTGACAAACAAAACCAGACAAAACAACCAATCCCACAAAACAAAACTAAACAAAACTAAACAAAAACCAACCAGCCAAACAACCAAACCCAACCAAAAAACCCTAGAATTCATTGTTTTGCGATGCACTGTCACACTGAATCATGCCTGTAACTGATGTTCTAGAAGAGTTCAGTTTCCTCTAAGGGTAATCAGTTATGTGATAAAGAGGTGTTAAATACTTGGTGATGATTTAAAATCCAATCTTAATTTGGTCCCACCTTGAGATCTGTTCATCTTTTTTTTTTTTTTTTTTTTTTTTTTGAGACAGAGTCTCGATCTATCTCTCAGGCTGGAGTGCCGTGCAGTGGTGCAATCTTGGCTCACTGCAGCCTGGACCTTCTAGGCTCAAGAGATCCTCCTTCCTCAGCTCCCCTGAGTAGCTGGGACCACAGGCATGTGCTACCCCATCCAGCTAATTTTAAACTTTTTTTGTAGAGACAGGGTCTCACTATGTTGCCCAGATTGGTCTCGGACTCCTGGGGTCAAGCGATTCTCCTGCCTGGGCCTCCCAAAGTGCTGGGGAGATCTGTTCATTCTTTTTTTCTTTTCTTTTCTTTTTTCTTCTTCTTCTTTCCTTCCTTCCTTCCTTCCTTCCTTCCTTCCTTCCTTCCTTCCTTCTTTCTTTCTTTTCTTATTGAGACAGGGTCTTGCTCTGTCACCCAGGCTGAAGTGCAGTGGCGCGATCTGGGCTCACTGTAATCTCTGCCTTCCAGGTTCAAGCAATTCTTCTGCCTCAGCCTCCCGAGTAGCTGGGACTACTGGTGCACGCCACCATGCCCGGCAAATTGTTGTATTTTTAGTAGAGACAGGGCTTCACCATATTGGCCAGGCTGGTCTCGAACTCCTGACCTTGTGATCCGCCCACCTCTGCCTCCCAAAGTGCTGGGATTACAGTCATGAGCCACCACACCCGGTGATCTGTTCATTCTTAATGGAAAAATGCTTGATACTTTATAAGCCAAATGGTGACACAATTGGCCCTATTTTAGTCCAACAGGGAAAAAGGCAAAAATTATACATTTCAGCAGACCTGGTACATTTGATAGCTTAAACTGACATAAAAATTGTCTTCTAAAACTAAGATAAAACAAAATGGGGATAGTGATACTTCCTCATGGAGTTGTGGGAAGGGTGGAGTGAGATTCATGTGCAAAGAGTTTGCACAGTGCCTGGCACATCAAGGACATTGATGGGTGAGAGTCCCCAGTGTTGGGACCATTGCTGGGGTGGGAGTGGCCTGTGCCTCCAGCAGGGAAGAAGGGCAGATGAGCTTTCCGGAACGTACTCCTCAGAACCTGGGTCCTAAGTCTGTTTGCACGCATGTGCCCTGCGTGTATTCTCTGCCGGGGCATTAGCGGACAGGGACCCTTCTCCACATGAAAGCACTCGGGGAATCACGGCTTGCTGAAGCCAGAGCACAAGGCGGAGATCACCTGCACCAACCCATCCTACATGGAAAGGACAGCTGAGTCCCGAGAGGGCCGTAGGGTCACAACTTCCTAGGAAGCCGGGGCTGGAGCCAGGCCCCCTGCCTGCCCTCTCTGTCGCTGTGCCCCGCTCTGTGCTCCACAGGCAGCTCCTCAGCCGCAGCGCCTTCAGTTCCATCTGGTCTAGAGGGAAGGGAGTGCGGGTCGCCCGGCCCCTGGAAGCTCACCTCTAAAGCCCCAAGGGCACCGTAGGGGAGGCTGTGTCCACAAAGGCTCCTAGGAGGAGCTTTCATGACACTTTATGAGAAAAAGTCCCACAGTCCTGCACTGAGCCTTCACCTCACCTGAGCTCTTCTCAAAGTCAAGTCATAGCGGGCGGGGGACGGGGGGCGGGGGGCGGAAACTGAAGTGCAGAGTGAAGGGCTCTGAGAAAGCACTCCCAGGCCTGGGCCAACAGGCCCCGTGGCACCTTCGGGAACATCTCTGTGCATGAAAAGCTGCAGTCTGCTGTTACTGTTTCAGTAACGGGGTCAATATTTCTATATCCGGACACTGCGCAGTCTCTAGGCCTCCCGAGGGTTTGAGTTCTCCGGAGTCCAGACTCATAAACCACACCTCCCTCCCTCTGCAAAAAAGAGCGTGCGGGTCCAGGTAGGTGAGCGGCGGCGCTGTCCCTTCAGCTCCAGGAGGGAGAGGGCGCCCCCACCTGGTTACAGGCAGCATGGCAGCGAGAGGCCAGGGCTGAACGCGGCGCAGGATCCTCTCCTGGTGGCCTTGTCCCTGGGTGCCCCTCAGAACCACCCGGGGACATCCCCAAATTACAGAAACCTGGACCCTCACCACAGACCCTGAATCAGGAAGTATGAGGTGTGCCCCAGGCATTTTAAAACAACAACAACAAGCTCTATAGAGCTTCTGATAAACACCCAAGTTGAGAACTGCAGGGTATTAAGATCAGAAATGAGGTGTCAAAAATAACTTCTAGCTAACAATAGTTAAGGTGCCAACACCTGTGAATCATTTGTCATTATATGCAAATTAGAGGCCCGTGGCAGTGGCTCACGCCTGTAATCCCAGCACTCTGGGAGGCTGAGGCAGGAGGATCACTTGAGCTCTGGAGCTTGAGACCAGTCTGGGCAACATGGTGAGACCCCGTCGCTACTAAAAATAAAAGCGAATTAGCCAGGCCTAGCAACGAGTGCCTGTAGTCCCAGCTACTGGAGAGGCTGAGGTGGGAGGATTGCTTGAGCCTGGAGGTCAAGGCTGCAGTGAGCTGTGATTGCTCCACAGCACTCCAGCCTAGGCAACACTGAGATCTTGTCTCAAAAAAAAAAAATTTCATATATATATATATATATATATATACACACACATATAAAAAATATAATGTATATATATAATATAATGTGTATATATAGAGATACACACACACACATATATATATATGTATGTATAATTAGAGCAGATATGAGGCCATTCCTCTCTTTCCCTTGCATTCTCAGAGAGAAAAGGCCTGTGTGGGGGCTCTGCTGGGTGCCCTACATGCCTGCAGCCCTCCTGAGCCTTGTTGGAGACTATCACTGATCTCTGCCCCAGTTAGGATGGTTTCAAATTGGTCTAGTCTAGTGCTTTACTGGCTTCCCAAAAGCTTTGGGCTAAGTTCAAATGGGGGACTCCCCTGGAAGTGTGCCTCAAAAGCAGATGTCATCCACACTGTGTTTCTCAGCAGGAAGTCTCCCCACCAGCACAGCTGTTCTCCACTGTGACAAGCATAGGAGCCCCCAGGGACTGTGCTGAAGAGCAGATTCTGATGAGCAGGGCCGGGTGGGGCCTGAGAGTCTGCATGTCTAATAAGCTCCCAGGGGACACCTTGTTGCTCTCCAAGGACCACATGTGAGGGTCTACACCACTTACTGACAATACTGCTCTAGCTATGACCAGCTGGAAAGGCTTCTGAAGAGGAGCTTCATAGCTAAGCTGACCAACCCTCTTGGTTTTCTTGGGGCTGAGAGGTTTGCCCAGACTTGAAACCTGGGATGGTCCCAGGGAGACCAGAATTCTTGGTTACCCTGTGCACAGCTGTGGCCCAATACAATTAGTTTAGGTAAAGCCTTGACATAGACGCCTGAGAAAGGCTCAAGAATGCTTACAAAGAAACAAACAAGGCATTGTAAATCAATCTAGTGTAGAAAAAATACTCTTAAAGCACCGAGGGAAGGTAGATTAAATTCAAGGTCATCATGAAACTGAGCTTCTTGAGAGCTGAGTTCTGAGTGGGATGGGATAGAAAAGGGATTAGGGAATGATCTAGGTTGGGATGAAGGAAAGGGCTCCCATTGCTATACATGCCCGCTTTGGTTAGCGCTGATTTCATGAAAAGCCAGGTTCATCTGAGTTGTCAGAACCTACAAATCATATTCAAGTGTGTGCTGTCATATTTGTATTAAATTCCTGTATCTATATATTTTAGGTCACTTTCTCTCCCCAAAAGCCATGGCAGTTAACCTGGCCCTAAACCTAAGTTGCCCTGGCCTCCCTGCCCAGGTGCCTTCTAGAGAATGTCACATAATGCAGTGGTTTAATGGACTTCCCTGGTGACCACAGCCCTGGTCTGGATGTGGTCCTGTCTGCCCTGCCATGTGCCATGTGACCTAGGTAGAAAGGGAGTCAGTGTCTACCTGTCTGTGCCTGTCCTCCTGCCCTTACAGGGATGGCTGAGGCATGAGGGCTCTGACAGCCCTGGAGACACACAGAACCTCACCAATATGGAAGAGTCTGGGAAAACCTTGGGGCCACCCTGAGAAGGCACTTCACAACAAAGACTGCACACAGTACTTTTTGGAGGGCAGCCATATTCTGGCCTATGGGTTTGGTTCCTAGAACTCGAAGTATGTGGGTTTCCTGAGTGTGTAAAATCCTGAGAGATGGTAATAAACCACACCCTTTGGGATGAGGTACAGAGAGCCTTCATATTTATAAAATATATGAGGCCAGGCATGGTGGCTCACACCTGTAATCCCAGCACTCTGAGAGGCCAAGGTAGAAGCATTGCTTGAGCTCACGAGTTTGAGTCCAGCCTGGGCAACATAACGAGAGCCTGCCTCTACAAAAATAAAATAAAATAAAAAGTTAGCTGGGCATGGTGGTGTGTGCCTGTGATCACAATTATTCAGGAGGCTGAAGTGGGAGGATTGCTTGAGTATAGGAGTTTGAGGCTGCAGTGAACTATGATTGCACCATTGCACTCCAGCCTGGGCAACAGAGTGAGACCGTGTCTCAATTAAAAAAAAAATATATATATATATATATATATGTATGCATGTATATGTGTGTGTATATATATATATATACATATGTATGTATGTATGTATGTGTGTGTGTGTATATGTATATATGTATATATACCGCTTTATTTCTTTAGCAGTGGTTAAGATTTGAACTTTGGAATCAGGCAGAACTGTAGGTCCAGCTCTGGCATTTTCTCACCCTCTAGAGCCTGGGTTTCCTCATCTGTAAAATAGAGATGGTAACAGTGCCTCCTCTTCGGGGCCTCTGGGCCTTGGCCGTCACACAATGCTCCTCCAAGAGCAGCTATGTTATCACTACTCTTATCTCACAGACAGCTGGAGGAGGGTCACGGGGGCAGCGGGCGCTCTGCAGGAGGCCTCCTTTAAGGGCAGTTGTCATTAGCACGCTGTTAGCAATGGGAAGCTCCAAGATGCTGCCAAACCACTTGAAAAGATGTGTTAGAAATCCCCATTTGGTAAAGAACAAAATTCTCAGTTCACAGAGCTTAGTCAATGCTTTTGTTGTCATTGTTGTTAATAAATGCTTTATTTTTGAAGAGTTTTAGATTTATAGAAAAGCTATAAAGATAGTACAGAGTTCCCATTTCTCACAGGGGTCCTGCACTGGCTCCCTGCTGGGGCGGGCTTGCAGTAGTCCAGTGGTTCAGTTTTGGTCTGGCTTCCTTTTTTCTGTGGTGACTGTCTAGCCCACAAGCTGAGTTATGGAGATGCTGCAGCTTTTCTGTTTGTAAAAATGACCTTGATCCCCGCCTACACTCGTTTCCTCTGTGTGCACAAACACACATGTGCACAGGCCCACCCACAGCATGCGGTCATGCAGTGTGAGGAGCACACCCACTGAGCTAGGCTCAGGTGACCCCTGACTGCTACCCCTTGCAGACCCAAGGTCGATCAGAGCCCCTGCAGAGGAAGCACTGTTACCATCTCGTGGCTTCTGGATGGTCCAGAGGGGGCTTTCTTGGAGATAAGTGAGCCAGACCTCCAAGAATCTGTAGGGTGGGTGGGCACATTTGGGTGTTCTCTTTTGCAGATGAGAAGTATTCATGGTGGCCTGAGGCTTGAGGCTTAAACACTATGAGCCTCAGTTTCCTTTTTTGGAAAATGGGAATAAACCAATGCTTCAGTCCTGGGAATGTGGTGAAGAGTGAAGGAGAAGCATGAGTAGCACCGGGCCTGGCACGGATGAGTGCGGTGCTTTTATCATTCCAGCTGTGTGGACCACACCAGCCACACCAGGTGGACATGTGGCCTCAGCTCACCAGATTCTCCTGCCCTCTGCCTCTGCCCAGGGTGGAGGGGAGTGAAGGCAGTGCCACAGCCCGGTACAGACCTGAATCATTGTATGCTTGACAGGCTCCAAGGCCTCCTTAAGTTAGGTCTTCACTCTGTGTACCATGACATTCCTCCAGAAAAACAAAAGTGCAAAGAACATCTTCTAATTTAAAACATGTTTTATGGTCGGGCTTGGCGGCTTATGCTGTAGCAGGATGAGCCGCAGACAAAAGTCCTCAAACTCTGAATTAAAGAAGGAAGGGGTTTATTCGGCCGGGGGCATTGGCAAGACTCCTGTCTCAAGAGCCGAGCTCCCCGAGTGAGCAATTTCTGTCCCTTTTAAGGGCTCACAACTCTAAGGGGGTGCACATGAGAGGGGCATGATTGATTGAGCAAGTGGGGGGTACGTGTCTGGGGGCTGCATGCACCGGTAATTACATCGGAACAAAACAGGATAGGGATTTTCACAGTGCTTTTCTATCCAATGTCTGTAATCTATAGATAACATAACCAATTAGGTCAGGGGTCGATTTTTAACTACCAGGCCCAGGGTGTGGCGCCGGGCTGCCTGCTTGTGGATTTCATTTCTGTCTTTTAGTTTTTACTTTTTCTTTCTTTGGAGGCAGAAATTGGGCATAAGACAATATGAGCGGTGGTCTCCTCCCTTATTCCCCCCCTTTGAGAATCTCACTCAATAGTGGGAGTTCTCACTTTCATTTTTACTTCCCATGTCTTCTTGCAAGACAGATCGATAGTGATTCACATAGTACATTGTGCTGAAGCATTTTGGTGAACTAAGGTAGTGATGAAGCTTTTTATCATTTGAAGAAGTACAGGTAGCAAACAAGGGAGCAGTAAGCAGGTTCCTATTACTATTATAACTCTTATTATAAGAGTTTTAAATCCTCTTAGTGCTGGGAACCATTTTCCAAACATGGCCCCAGGATCAAATCTATGCCACACTTGTACGGGCACATGTGCCAGTTTTGTCATATCTCTAACTATGTCTTCAACTACTTACCCTTGATTATCTATGTGTAGGCAGCAATTAGTAAGGTTAAATTTCCTGCAGACCTCTCCTTCAGCTGTAGTCGAGAGCTGATCTATTTTGATAGATAGCATTTCTCATCTGAGTTTCTTGCCAGGCCAGAATAGTCAAGGCTCTGCTGGTTTTACTAGTGATTATTTTTAAGACAGCTTGTAACCGTATGATTCGGTTGATCATGTAAATGGGGGTCCGGTATCCTCACGAGCTGTCTTGTGCCTAAGTAGCAGGCCTATAATATTGTATGATTCTCTCAGGGGGCCATTTATCATTTTTTCAATTTCCTATAGCTATGCTTCTCTTTTCGCGGGAAGCATAGACAGGGAAGCCCAGGAGTTCGCCTGTTTTTGTGGGCAGTAGGAAGAAAGATGGTTTAATAGTGCTAATAACACAACTACCTGCCTACTGGCCAGGTAATCTGGCATAAGCTGTTTGCCCACATATCCAGTATAATCCAGTGGGGGCTGTCCAGTCCTGGTGTGACTCTGGGTAGGTCCACACGGTTTGCAACTTTGGGAATTTACTAAATGGATTTCTTTCTGTGTGATTTGAACTCCACCAAGTGACTGTTTTTGTGGTACCATTATACAGTTTCTGTCTCAGACAACTAAGTCATCTGACAGGGTGAGTGAATTCTTTTCCTTCTTTAGCTATGCAATATTGTCCAATAATTGAGCCTTTTAGGACCTAGAAATTATCAGGGTGATTCTTTTGAGCCGGGAATTCATCAGGAACTGTGTCTGTAGGTACTAATTCTTGGGCTTCCTATGGCCATTGATCTCCTATTACAGTTCCTCCACATACATAACATGAAGTGACATTGAGAGACTGGGCTACATGCTCGGCTAATTGCAAAAACAAATTTCTTGTTTTTCCTGGAATTTCTGGTACTGGCACATTTAGTTCATCATAGAAAGGTTGAAACACTGGCTCAGGAGAGCGTTTGTAAACTTCTCCTCGAACCAAGATATTTACTCAAGGATGCAGTCCGGCCCCGTCGATTCCTAAGGTCACATGCTCGTCTTTTTTCCAGCGAGTATCAAGGGGATTGGTTATTACTAGCTCTAAGGGGTTACATTGCCCTTTAGTACAGGAAGGGCCATTTTTTCCTTTCTGAAGGTGGACTGGATCCTTTTCATTTTTTTTAAATCCAAGTGGCCTAAATGACACAAGACCAGTATTTACATTTATTTCTACACAGTCCTAATTTATGACAGATGTACTTATTTTCTGCCATATAGCCTCTTTTCTAATTAAGAGAACCACACCTTATTTCTAACATTACTATTAAAGACAGCACAGGCATCAAATTTTAAGGTGACTTCTTTGGGCACCCCTTTTTCTTCTGTTTTGGCTAACACGTTGCTCGTATTGTTTATAAGCCCCCACCAGTCCTCAGTCTTTAATCTTATTTTAAAAACTGTGGTCATGGGAGACTCAGATGGGTCATAACACACATCAGGTTTGTCATTTCCTGGGCTACATACCTTGTATAGAATAACATTATACCAACAAGTTCTTTTTAGAGTTCCAGTACACTTATAATAACCATAAAATAATAGGACCGTAGCAACCTTTTGTCCTACCTCAGTGACTTGATGCATACACTGGGAACAGCCCTCAGCCTGAGGAAGGTCAGTTGAAGTCCTTACTGTAAAAGTCCAAATTTTAAGGAAAATGAGTCCCGTGATGAGTTTTCTCATGCTTCGGCCGTGCGTGGACCAGTCAGCTTCCGGGTGTGACTGGAGCAGGGCTTGTCATCTTCTTCAGAGTCACTTTGCAGGGGTTGGCGAAGCTGCTCCCGTCCACGTACCGCTCACAGTCTACTGATGTTTAAGGATGGTCTCAGAGGTTGGTCCTGCTAGAGTCTAACTGAGTCTAACGCTTCTACACAGTTATGTTCAACTGGGCTCTCTGATACCGGGAGCAAGGTGGTGGGATTTAGGGTGTTGCAAACTTCAATGGTTATGTGGGGATTTTAAGCTTTGATACTTGGTTAATCTAGTATTTGTTAACCAATGATGTCCTTTGGTAGTCATTAAAGTTACCACAGCAAGGGGGCCTTTATATTCAGGTTTTGCCTAAGGGTTAGTTTATCTGCTTCTTGTGCTAACAGGGCTGTTGCTGCTAAGGCCCTTAGATCTGGGGGCTGGACTCTGGAAACCCTGTCTAGTTGTTTTGAGAGATAGGCCACTGGCCTTGGCCAGGGCCCCATAGTCTGGGTTAAAACTCCAACTGCCATTTTTTCTCTGACACATAGAGTTCAAAGAGTTTTGTCAGGTCAGGTAGCCCCAGGGCTGGGGCTGACATGAGTTTTTTTTAACTCATGAAAAGCTCATTGCTGTTGGTTGTAATAGATGTAGTTTATATAATCTACATTTTTATTAACTGTCACCTACTAAAATATTGACTCAAATCCTGCAGCTATTTGATTTCAAGCTTTAAATTGATCTGCTGTTCCTCGTGAGACTCCAATTGTGTCTAAATAGATATGAGAGTCGAAAGACCCATAGGAGGCTTCTCTCACTTTATGATGTCTTATTTTTTTTCCTTCTGGTTGATGAAATGCCAGGGTGAAAGGGATAGTCAACTGGACTAAAGTACAAGTGCCCCTCCAGTTATTCGGCAGAGTGCCCAGTAAAGGTCCACCACAATACCACCACACATCCACTCGGGGATGAACAAGGGCTGACTGATTGATAAGCTCTTGAAAATTCTTAAGCTCACTGCATCCCTTTAGGTCTCCAAGGAATGCTGTTTCCTCCCTGTCGTGAGAAACACGAAGTGAACTTAGTGTTGGGGGACGGAAGCTGGATGGCCCTTGGGGGCTGACCTGCAGGGTGCCTGACTTTGGGATATAGCAGAGAGAGCTTGGCATGACTTATTATTCCATGCTGTAGAATCCTGGAAAAGAGCTACCATGCAGCCCACACCTGGTCGACGGAGGACCACCTTAGTGGAAAGGGGACAGTCTGGGTCTCTGGCCTGCCATGTGCGCAAGCATAACAATTGCTTTTGTTTAACATGCAGATGGAATATTTGATCCATTTTAACCAGGCAGTTGCATCTTGGTATCCCGTCTTAATTGCTAAAGTTTGTTTTAAGTCTTTAACTGCTATGATCCTCTAGTAAAATGAATGTATGGTTTTAGGAAATTACAAAAACCGGTTGGGGCAGTCCATCCTTGTTCTGTAGTGGTCCACAGAACGTTGGTCCAACTATGACATGCAAGCTGCACATCAGGGGGCAAGACTCCTGGTTGGCACTGGGGTCTTTATCGAAATCTCCCGGGATTAAATGGTTCAGTTTACTAATTCCCAGTCTGAGGAGAGTCAGGAGGGACAGAAGTACTTTTCTGAAGAAGAAAGCTGTCTTTGACTTGGCAAGTCCCCACAGGGTATAACAAGGCAAGCATTAAATGCAATAGTTTGAGGCGAAATTGACTTGGTTATGTTAATAACTAGATGGTCAGCAATAGAACGAGGAAAGAAGAAAGAGTAATAGAATAGAGGAAAAGAGTTAAATTTTTCTTAGCTTTTGTTTGGTAGGGTTTTCCCCTGGGACTATGGCCCATGACTCTGGAGGAGGTGGCACTTTCTTGACTCGGGTGTGATGAGTCCATCCTTTTTTTTTTTTTTTTTTTTTTTTTCTGTACAAACAGCAGTCTTGGTGGTTAGCAGCACAAGGTGGGGTCCTTCCTAGGTTGGCTCGAGTTTTTCTTCTTTCCACCGTTTGATGAGAACGTGATCTTCAGGCTGGTGCTGGTTTACCAGAAATTCTAGGGGTGGTACATGTGCTAAAAGACTTTTAGTTTTTGAGAGAAAGGAAAGTGGAAGATAAACCAAGTATATAATTTTTAAGAAACTGACCTTTTGTTTTATATGTGGGGACCTTGGCAGTGGACTTTATAGTCCTTAGTGCCTTTTAACTGAGAAATTTCCTTTAGCATCTATTTTTATTAGTTTTTAAAACAAAGAAAGCCAAATACCATTTTACATTTAACAATGCTTCTCATATGATTTTTATACCAGATAAGCTAAATTTTATCTTTATATTAGTGTGTTAGTAATGTTAAACCTAATTTTAATAAAACCTTGTAGACATATTTATCTAATTTTTAATGTTTGACCATAAGGTAAGATTTTATAGACTCTTTTTAACCTTTTATAATTTTTGTGAAAGAGCAGGTTGGTGCTTTAAGAAAAACCTGTTATGCTTTTACTTTAATGTCCAGTTCACAGAAAAACTGGATGATACTTCTTTAACTTTAGCTAATATGTTTACACACAGAATTTTCTTTACAATTAACGTTTTAAAACTTGCTTAAATCTTCAAAACAATAATTTTTTAAAAACTTTTTAATGTAGGTAAAAATGTGCATTCTTATGCCTCCTTATAATCCTTTTACTAAAGGTATATTTTACTTTTCTGATACACCTTGCACATAAACTGTTTTTTTAAAATAGTTTTACATTCAGGAGGCCTAGTTACTTTTAAATTATACAACATTATTTGCATAAATTCTTTTTTATAACATTTTTCTCTTTCATGACTTTTGCAGACAATTCTTCGACATGCCTCAACTTTCTGACTTATTACAAATATTTCTTTCTTTAAACAACCAGTTAATTTATTTCAGGACAAGAATTTACCATATAATACTCTTTTTATATAAATTCTGCCCCCCCTTTTTTTCCCTTTTTTTTTCCTTAGGATACTTCTGAACTGGTGAGGTGTGCTCACAATGAGGTTTCCTCTAAAAGTTATTTTTTTTACTTTTTTTTTTTTGTTAGCAAAGCAGTTGCTGCTACAGATTGAATGCATTTGGTCCATCTGCGGGTTACCGGGTTAAGGATTTTTGATAGGAAGCCCTCAGTGCTTTCGGGATATGCCCTTGTTTACACTGACAACAAAGTGGTATTGGAGTGTTATAGGGTTATGGAGAATATCTTCAATTATCAATTATAGGTTTTAAATTTGCATTGGCTTTTAAAGGAATAGGGTACACTTTTTTTTTCTTAACTACTTGTATATCTCTTTCTTTCTTTCTCTCTTTGACTTTGTCTCTCTCTGACTTTCCTTTTGCCTGTCTCTTCCTCTCTCTCTGCCTCTCTCTTTCTCTCTCTCTCTCTCCTTGACTCTCTCTTTTTTTTTCTCTTCCTCTCTGTCTCTTCCTCTCTCTCTTTGCCTCTTTTCCTGTCTGTCTCTTTCCTTTCTCTCTCTCTGTTGGTCTTTCCTTGCCTCTGCCAGGCGCTTATTCTGCTGTTCTCTCCACCACTCTGTGTTAGGGGCGGGGGGTCTAAAACCAGCTGTAACCAAGTGTCTATGTACGGGAACTGGTCTGGGTTCCCTGGCTTACAGGTTACCTTGTGCCATAGCTTTGAAACAAGGGACCTGTCCGGGCTCCCTTCTAATGGCCAACCTACCTCTAATGCTGGCCAGTCTGTCTTACAGAAAGTTTTAAGTTTTCCTGGTGTCACCGTACTCCATAGTCTCCCTTAAACTCTTTTTTGAAATTTTTCACCGTAGTTCCTAGTAGGGTGGGCTTATTTGTGCCTGACCTATGCTTCCTTGAGACAAAACACCATGCTCACACCACAAGCACACCACAAAACAAAGAACAGGTAAAAAGGGCACACACACACTTTTGCAGTTTGCATCAAACCAAAATCAAAACCAAAATCAGAGTGTCCAGAAATCCAAGACAGGTCAAAACCAAAACCAAAGTATCAAGGAATCCAAGTCAAGTCAAAAACAAAAACCGAAGTGCCGGTACAGGCACACCATGGGTGATCAGGCCACGCGTCCACTCAAATGGAGTGGGCAAGTTTCCAATACCTGTCCTGTCAAGCAATTCAAACCAAGTCAAAACCAAAACCAAAACCAAAACCAAAGTGCTGATAAATGCATGTCATGGGTGATCAGGCCACGCTTCCACTCAAATGGAGTGGGCAAGTTCTCGAGACTAGTCTTACCAAGTTTTAGATGTCCAGACTCCAAGATCCTGTTCCTTCCCGGTGTTCAGCCACTGTGTTGGTCCTCCACGGGGGCCTGCCACACACTGCTCTGGTGAGGCATCCCACAGGGGCAGATGCCTACCCGGGAGCGTTCTCAGGATCCGCGTTGCCTGGGCTGGTCGGAGTCCCCCACAGGGATGTTTCACAGGGCATGCTTAAGCTGCCTAAGCAGCTGCCTCGACCATGTGCCAGTCACCTCGCTTCCTGGTCAGGGAACCAAGAAATGTAGCAGGATGAGCTGCAGACAAAACTCCTCAGACTCCGAGTTAAAGAAGGAAGGGGTTTATTCGGCTGGGGGCATTGGCAAGACTCCTGTCTCAAGAGCCAAGCTCCCCGAGTGAGCAATTCCTGTCCCTTTTAAGGGCTCACAACTCTAAGGGGGTGCGTGTGAGAGGGTCGTGATCGATTGAGCAAGCAGAGGGTACGTGTCTGGGGGCTGCATGCACCGGTAATTCGATCTGAACAAAACAGGATAGGGATTTTCACAGTGCTTTTCTATCCAATGTCTGTAATCGATAACATAACCGATTAGGTCAGGGGTCGATCTGCCCAGGGTGTGGCACCGGGCTGTCTGCTTGTGGATTTCATTTCTGCCTTTCAGTTTTTACTTTTTCTTTCTTTGGAGGCAGAAATTGGGCATAAGACAATATGAGGGGTGGTCTCCTCCCTTAATGCCTCTAACCCCAGCACTTTGGGAGGCCCAGGCATGTGGATCATCTGAGGTCAGGAGTTCAAGATCAACCTGGCCAACATGGCAAAACCTCGCCTCTACTAAAAATACAAAAAAATTAGCCTGGCGTGGTGACGGGCACCTGTAATCCCAGCTACTCAGGAGGCTGAGGCAAGAGAATCGCTTGAACCCAGAAGGCAGAGGTTGCGGAGAGCCAAGTTCGCACCACTGCACTCCAGCCTGGGTCAAAGAGTGAGACTCTGTCTCAAAAAAACAAAAACAAAAACGATACAAAACAAAAAACATGTTTTACTCAGGAAGACTGGTTTTCAATGTAATCAGTAGCAAGTACTTTTATAAAGTGATGAGGGCTTTGTGTCACAAATAACTCCCTTGCCCCAATTACTCTGTGTGGTCAGTTCTGATTTCACTGTACTTTGGGTTTAAGCCACGTATTTGGGAGAAAGTCATACGTGTCATTTCTCATAATATTCACCAAATGAAGAACTTTGGAAGGCTATGCAGGAGTCTACAGTTCACTGGAGGCCATGTGGCAGATCTCCTCCAAGGGGTTTCCAAATGTTTCCTGAAAAAGAAGAGGAGAGAGAGGTCTCTGCATCGTGTCTCAGATCTGAGTGAGGCCAGTTCTGGAACTTGTGGCGTACTGGGGAAGAAATTAGGTCTCGAGAGCCAGGGACCAAGGCCTGTCCTCTCCTCAGCTGCCCCTCTACTGCCTCTCTGCCCTAAATGGGTAGCTGAAGGGGGACGAGAAAGAAGAGAGAGAGAGAGAGAGGGAGAGAGAAGACAGGAGCAGCAGCAGGAGAGTGCGGGCACTTGGGAGCAGCTCACATCTGCTTCTTGGCTGGGGGGGGTACTGAAAACCACCCTGAGAAGGCTCATGCCTTGGCCTCGCTCCCCTTGTCTTGGGCTGACAGGACAGCTATACACTCAAATGCCCCTAAATGCAGGTTTGAGGACCTTCCTGGGGCAGGATGCCACATGGGGACAGGCAGAGCAGAAGCCACGTGACAGAGCCAGGCCAGCTGGGGAAGCGTGCACCCTCAGAAACGCTGGCTGGGCGGCCCTGCTGGAGGTTGTGTAAAATGCCCATTACGGTGCCTCAACAGTCAGCAGAAAGCTTGGGGTGTTAGGTTTCCTCTATGACTTCATTCCTCCCCCAAAATAATTATACTAAAAACCATAGTAGCTATTGCGTCTGGGGCATCTAAGCACGTCAGACACTACATACCTTATTTCACTCACCCTTCATCGAAACCCTGTGAGGCAGGCATTATTTCCCCCATTTTACAGGGAGGTACTGGGTCTCAGCAGGGGTGTAGGCAACTGCCAGGGGTCTCACCCAGCTTGTAGGTATAGGGCTGGGTGTCAGCCTTCAGGTCCCCATGACTCAGGTCAGGAGCTCAGAGCCCCTGTGCCGCCACACAGCCCTTAGCGTGTTGCACTGTTGCAGTGGACAAGCTCTCCGGGATCTGGCAAGGATGGTGAAGTCTGGTCAGAGGCTAGATGCCAGGCCTCACAGCACAGCTATCACAACAGAACCTAAACTGGAAATTGGGTTTTTGCTGTTGTTTTTTTAAAAATCCCCTGCATCTTTGTTGTTGTTGTTGTTGTTTGAGACGGAGTCTCGCTCTGTCGCCCAGGCTGGAGTGCAGTGGTGCAATCTTGGCTCACTGCAACCTCTGCCCTCTGGGTTCAAGCGATTCTCCTGCCTAAGCCTCCCGAGTAGCTGGGACTACAGGTGCCCACCACCACACCTGGCTAATTTTTGTATTTTTAGTACAGACGGGGTTTCACCATATTGGTCAGGCTGGTCTTGAACTCCTGACCTTGTGATCTGCCCCCCTCAGCCTCCCAAAGTACCAGGATTACAGGTGTGAGCCACTGCGCCTGGCCAACATCTTAAACTAGGTAAGCCACATAAGCTAGCTTTCAAGATCTTGAATCTCGAGTAGATCCCAGCTGGTCTTCAGTTTTTATCTGCCACTCACCACCCTGAGTCAAATACTTAAGGTCTTTGTGCCTCAAGTTTCTCATTGGTAAATTCCTATGGGCTGTTGTGAAACAGAATAAGATGATGCTTACCCAGTGTCTGGCCTGAGAGCTCAGTAACCAGCTGTTCTAAGAACTAGAGGAACAGGCTGTAGCTTTAGGCTTTCCTTTCTGCCCTGGGATGTTCTCCCTGTCAAAAACAACAGCACTGAGACTGCTGTCCTGGTGGGTTCCACCGAAGGATTAACACTGAACAGCAACAAAAAAGGGTGCGGGCTCTTCCTCCTGGACCGAATGCACACTCGAGTTTGTTGCAAGTACCTGAGAGCTCATTGCCTGCCTTGGCTGTGGAATAGGCCCATGCCGGTGCTTATGTCTTTCTGTTCTATCCCCTGAAAGTCAAAACAAAAGTTTCTTGTCTTGAGGTAGGAGGTGGGACTCGACTCCAGAGGTGGGGCTTGGACACCAGACTAGATTGAGGACTAGCTAAAACAGAGCCGGGGTGAAAGCAGCTTTGAATCAGACATGCCCACCACTGAGACATGTCAATTTACTGTAGCCATGGCAACACCTGGGCATTACCACCCCTTTCCATGGTAATGACCCAATGACCCAAAAGTGCCTACCCCTCCCCTAGAAATCTCTGCATAAACTGCCCCTTAATCTGCATGCAGTTAAAAGTGGGCATAAATATGACTGCAAAACTGCCCTGAGCCGCTACTCCCTGCCTAAGTTAGCCCTCCTCCGCAGGAGCAGTCATGGAGTTGTAACACTGCTTCTTCAATAAAGCTTTCTTCTACCTCTGGCTTGCCCTTGAATTCTTTCCTGGGCAAAGCCAGGAACCCAGCAGGCTACGCTCCACTTTCGACCTTGCCTGCCCTGTATCACTGACTTCCTTCTGAACCCTCCTCACACTAAGCAGATGCTCAGCCACCTGTCGCCTTTTCCCCACTCCCTTAGCCCTTCCCAAGGTCTGGGCTGGGTTGCATTCAGATTGGTGTGATCACCACTTTCATGGTGGCACAGCTTGCTTGGGGAACTCACCGATGGCGGATAAGGGGAAGGCGTGAGTTGTGACATGTCCTATAAGGTACTATGTCATGAGCATGGAATATGAAATCAGCTGCAGGCTGATGCCATGTGGGTGGTGCCCTCCTATGTCGGGGTGGGAGGCCTCCTGGGCAGGATTCTTTTTCTCCTGGGGCACAGGAACAAGGTGCAAACAGGCAGGAGGGCAGGTCCCACAGCTGCTCTGGAAGGCTGACCAGGCTGTCCACACACACTCTATCAACCCCCCTCACTATCTTGTCCCACTGTAACTTCTGCTGGCTGGCTTCAGCCCCACTCAACTTGCAAATGCTCTTAGGGAGGTTGCTATACTCTCCAAATGACCAAACGAGTGTTTACAACTCTGCCCTTACCTTATTTGCTCTTTCTGCAACATCTGGCATCATGGACCACTTCTGCATTCTGGAAACCATTTCTTCTATGGGAACCTGTGTGACAATTTTTTCCATATTCTCTCCTACTCCCCTGGATGCTTCCCTTGGTCTCCTTCACTGAGTTTTCTTCCTCTGCTTGCACAGAATAACCTCCAGGGTTCCTTCCTTTCTCCCTTCCTGCTCTGCCACTCTTGGGGCATATTCATCTTCAAACGTGGCTTCTGTTATCACCTCCCAGCTCTCTGTCTCTGGCCTAGACCAATCTGTTGAGACCTTGTATCCAACTGCGTGTTGGCCAGCTAGCTCCTCATAGGCCTTTGGGGCTCAACATGAACTCAGTATCAGCTTTACCCAAGCTGCTCCTGCCCCAGCATTTCCTCCTGTGGTGAACTACGCTACCATCCATCTGGTCACTCAAGCCAGGAATTTCCCTCCGTTTACCTTATGTACAGTTGATCACCATGTCTCATCTAACCCACCTTCCAGGCATTTCTGGACTCCCCTCTTCATTCCCACAGCCATTGCCTCAGTTTAGCCAGTGTCATTTCCCCAGGGTTGCTGCGATAGCTTCCCACGCTGTATTCCTATGCCCTGCATTCACTCTTTACCAGAGAAGTCTTTCTACAGCACACATCTAGTAGTGCTCGTCTGCTCAAAGCTTCCACTGTGAGTCCATCACCTTCAGTAGACTTCCTCAACTCTTGGGTCTTCCTGCTCACCTGTCCATCCACCTGTCTTACAGGTAACGAACCACAGGTACCCTTTGGTCCACCAACCCAACCTGCAGCTCACAGCAGGCCTCCATGCTTTTACCCACAGTTTCCCTTCTCCTAATTCCAACTGCTCCTTTAGATGGGATTCAAGTGTCACCTCCCCAGGAACATTTGCCCTGACCCCCATGCCCTGCCATCTTTATCAGAATCTGGGTCCTCCTCTTTGCATTTTAGGCAAAGCTCTTTCAGAGCAATTATCATACTACATAGAGAGAGCTGATTTACACAGCAGTTCCAGTGAAGTTTTGGTGAGAGGGGATGGAATCACAACATTTAGAGCAGGAAGGGTTCAACAACTTCATTTTACAGAGCCCAGAGAAGGGATGTTGAAAAGCTAATGCAGACATAGCTACTTAACAAAAATTGTCATTCGGGGTCAGACCAATGACTAAACAGCCCAGTGTTCCAGTGAGGTGAAATGGATTCCCTCGGTCACATAACTCATTAAGACAGAACTAGGCCAGACACGGTGACTCACGCCTGTAATCCTAGCACTTTGGGAGGCCAAGGCAGGAGGATCACCTGAGGTCAGGAGTTCAAGATCAGTCTTGCCAACATGGTGAAACCCCACCTCTACTAAAAATACAAAAATTAGCCGGGCATGGTGGCGGGTAACTGTAATCCCAGCTACTCGGGAGACTGAAGCAGGAGGATTGCTTGAACCCAGAAGACGGAGGCTGCAGTGAGCCAAGATGGCACCCCTGCACTCCAGCCTGGGTGACAGAGTGAGCAAACAAACCAACAAACACACAAAGAAGACAGAACTAGAAGAGCCTGGGAACCTGGAGCTCAAGCTCACTGCTCCTACCATCACTGTGCTGCCCCCGATGGAAAAGGTAGGCGTGTCCTCTAAAACCTCCTAAGTCCCTTAGAAACACATTATGGTCCTGTGCAAGGTGGTTCAGGCTGCTATAATAAAATACTTTAGACTGGGTAATTTATGAATAACAGAAACTTATCGCTTGCAGTTCTGGAGGCTGGAAAGTCCAAGGTCAACGTGCCAGCAGATTCAGTGTCTGATGAGAGCCCGTTTCTCATAGATGGCATGCTCTATGTGTCCTCACATCATGGTAGGGCAAACACATGGCAAACAAACTCCCTGGGGCCTTTTGTATTAATATAAGGGCACTAATCACTCCCCCAGAGGCTCCACCTCTTAATACCATTACCTTGGGGGTTAGGTTTCAACATACGAATTTAGGGAGGTCACAAGCATTCAGACTCTAGCAGGCCTCACCGTCCATAATTAGTTTTAACATTTGTCTTATCACATTTAGGTGATGAATATTCTTAGAGATAACAAATATCCTGAATTTACAAGTAACAGGAAAAAACATGGAAAATTATGAATGTCTGTCTTTGTCTGAAAGTTTATCCTTATATTGAAAAGAAATGTTTTTCCCTAATTTGTACCCTTGGGTATAAATTCAAAACTATTGCCTTTTAAAATGTGATGGAGCTCTTAACTAAACACTGTTTGGTTTCAAAGATAACTTTCTTCTCATCATATCCTCCAGCTGCCTGCCATTTAGCTGAAGCTGTCTCTCAGTCTACATCTTGTCCTGTTTATCTCACGTGGTATGTGGCTGTTAAGAACAGTCTGCCTAACACCTCATTCTTTGTTCTAGAACGTGGTTATTTGTTGAGCATATAGTATGTCATGCATCTTTTTTTTAAAAGCATCTCTTAGCTTCTGATTGTTATAAACAAAGAATCTCTCCTTTTTTCTTTCTAGAAATCTTTTTTAATCACTCGAAAGAATTGCCATAATCCCTGACTTCAAATTGCTTCAAGTAATTGTGGAGATAAGACTTATACACAAATGTCTTGTCTGATTTTAAATTCTACACATGCAAATCTGGGGATTTCCTGTAGGGACAGGCGGAGTAGTGCTGCCGCGCAGGCGCCAGCTCCTCGTTTATTATGCAGTGATGTACAGCCCTCTAGTGGGTCTTTAATGCAACATAAAAAAACGAAGCTGAGGGCAATGAAATATGGCTTTGTTCATTCATCCATTCATTTGATGTACAAGTGCTGGGTTCCTGCTTTGTTCCAGGCACATTTTAGGTGCTGGGAATACTGCAGTAAATCAAACAAACAGCAACAAAATCAGATACATTAGTTACTGGAGACTAAGAAGATGGAGAGGAGAACAAATTTGGGATGAAGATCAGGAACTTGATTTTTGGCACATTAAGTCTGGGATGCTCATTAATCTTCAAGTAGCTTCTTTTAAACATTAATTAGGTGCCGGATGCAGTGGCTCACACCTGTAATCCCAGTACTTTGGGAGGCCGAGGCGGGTGGTTCACTTGAGGTCAGGAGTTTGAGACCAGCCTGGTCAATATGGTGAAACCCTGTCTCTACTAAAAATACAAAAATTAGCCAGGCATGGTGGCCTGCACCTATAGTGCCAACTACTCGGGAGGCTGAGGCAGGAGAATCTGTTGAACTCGCGAGGCGGAGGTTGCAGTGAGCCGAGATGGCGCCACTGCACTCCAGCCTGGGTGACAGAGTGAGACTCTATCACAAAAAAAAAAAAAAAAAAAGAAAAAGAAAATTAAAATTAAAATTAATCAGGCCAGGCGTGGTGGCTCACGCCTGAAATCTCAGCATTTTGGGAGGCTGAGAGGCTTGAGCCCGGGAGTTCAAGATAAGCCTAGGCAACTTAGTGAGACCTCATCCCTACAAAAAGTTAAAACAATTGGCTAGGCATGGTGATGTGCACCGGTGATCCCAGCTAACTCAGGAGGCTGAAGTGGGAGGATTGCTTTAAGCCCAGGAGGTTGAGACTGCAGTGAGCTGTGATCGTGCCACTGCACTCCAGCCTGGGCCATAGAGTGATACCCTGTCTCAAAAAATAATAATAATAGCAATCAGTGTCTCTATGGACATGTACAGAGTGCCTGTGGGAGAAAATGCAAGTGCAAATACTCTCTTATTTGAGATTTCACCAAATTTAAATGAAAACTGACAACATGAGCACAGTTAGCAAGAAAAGTGTGAAGACAGTGAATTAGACCATGGGTGTGGGGAGAGTGGTTATCGAGAAGTTCAAGGGTTGGCCCCACTCTTATAGAGTTGCTCATCTTCTTTCTCTGTTTAAATGGAATCATCTCAGTTCTTCGTTTGTTTTCTTCTTAATTCTTGCCACAATTTGTCACAGTGGAGTTTCTCTGTGTACTTAGGTTACATCCATCTCTTCCACCTACAGGACTATATGTCTGTCCTATTCACTGTGGTATCCTCAGCATCTGGCACCTGACTCAGCCTCTATTTATACTTGTTGGAGGATGAATTTTCCATTTAATAAGGCAGAGAAGATACATGCACATGAGAAGCTAGTAATATGGCCTAGTATAATTCTAAATGAGTAAAAACACAGTTGATTACTCTTAAGAGTAATTAGAAGATAGATCATAGTGGGTTGAAGTCAATCAGGAAAAATTTCAGAGAAGAAATTGGGCATGAGCTGAGACTTAAAGAATGGATGGAATATGAAGGAAAAAGGAAAGAAGTTATAGGGGAAAGGATGTTCCCTGTAACCTGTCCCTGTTTGACTCCCACATGCTTCTCATCTCCCAGTGTCTCTTTCTATTCTGGTGTCTAGTGGTCTCTGCTGGGCTGTCCTGCCCTCACTCATGATGCGGGCTAACTCTGGCCAACCTTTAGGGTTTGTCATGTGAGTGATTCCTATGCTACCCTTTTTTTTTTTCTTTTTTTTGAGACGGAGTCTTGCTCTGTCGCCCAGGCTGGAGTGCAGTGGCGCGATCTCGGCTCACTGCAAGCTCCGCCTCCCGGGTTCACGCCATTCTCCTGCCTCAGCCTCCCCAGTAACTGGGACTGCAGGCGCCTGCCACCACACCCAGCTAATTTTTTTGTATTTTTAGTAGAGGCTGGGTTTCACCATGTTAGCCAGGATGGTCTCGATCTCCTGACCTCATGATCCGCCCACCTTGGCCTCCCAAAGTGCTGGGATTACAGGCTTGAGCCACCGTGCCCGGACTTTTTTTTTTTTTTTTTTTTTTTTTTTTTTTTTGAGACAGGGTCTCGGTCTGTTGAGCAGGCTGGAGTGTGGTAGTGCAATCTTGGCTCACTGCAACCTCTGCCTCCCAAGTTCAAGCGATTCTCCTGCCTCAGCCACCCAAGTAGCTGGGACTACAGACGTGCCACCACACCCAGCTATTTTTGTATTTTTAGTAAAGGCAGGGTTTCACCATACTGGCCACACCCAGCTAATTTTTGTATTTTTAGTAGAGGCGGGGTTTCACCTTATTGGCCACGCTGGTCTTGAACTCCTGACCTCAGGTGATCCGCCTGCCTCGGCCTCCCAAAAGGCTGGGATTACAGGCATGAGACACCACACCCAGCCTCCTGTGCTACTCTTTATTATTGTCTTTGGGGCTCCACTGTCTTTTTTTAAATGAAAAGCCAGCATGTCAATACCTATCATACCTGGGCCATAGCAAGTGCTCAATAAATACTTGTTAAATGAGCATATGTGCGTAGGAGCCACATTCCATACTCTTGGGATGGCTCCTTTCCAGATATTTCGTCTCTGCCTAGAGCTGGGGCATTTGGCAATTGAGTACTTGAGGGCCCACTCAAAATCCTTGCATAATTATTAATAAGGGGCTTTCGCAGATTTTTATTTAACGAAGCTTTATTGCATGCCTTCTCTATTACAGGACTTATGCTGGCTATAAGCAGTTCGGAGTTCAGCTACTGTGAGAGCCATGTAAACAAATAATGATAAGTTTTGATTTATGTATAAAGTGGTCTATGAACACTGTAGATGGAGGATTGACTGTCCAAGTACGCCAGAGAGGCTTCTCAGATTACAGGAGAAAAAGTTGGAATTGAATCTTGAAGGACACGTTATGTCCTCTGGGCAGACATGACTGGAGTGGATAAGGGAGTGGGTTGGACAGTATTCTGGACAAATGCAATCACAGGTGCAAAGATGGTGGTGGTGGTGAGGAACTGAGAAAGTGTGCGTTTAGAGCAAAAGCAGAAGTGGCCAGAGAGAAGGTGCAGGACTGGATTTGGGGCAGGATAACCAAACGGCTCATTTTTTTTTTTTTTTTTTTCTTGAGACGGAGTCTCACTCTGTCGCCTAGGCTGGAGTGCAGTGGTGTGATCTCCACTCACTGCAACCTCTGCCACCTGGGTTCAAGCGATTCTTCTGCCTCAGCCTCCCGAGTAGCTGGGATTACAGGTGCCTGCCATTGTGTCTAATTTTTGTATTTTTAGTAGAGACGGGGTTCACCATGTTGGCCGGGCTGATCTTGAACTCCTGACCTCGTAATCCACCCGCCTTGACCTCCCAACGTGCTGGGATTACAGGTGTGAGCCACCGTGCCCGGCCAGGGCTCTGTCTTATACAGTTTCATGTTGCTATAATAGGATGCCACAGACTGGACAATTTATAAACAATAGTTTATTTGGCTCACGGTTCTGGAAGCTAGGAAGTCCAAGATCAAGGGGTAGCATCTGGCAGCAGCCTTTTCTCTGGGTCATAAAATAGCAGAAGGCATCACATGGTAAGAGAAACAGCAAGGGAAAGCCAAACTCATTTTTATAACCAACCGACTCTCAAGATAACCCACTCCTGTGATTACGTTAATCCATTCGTGAGGGGTAGCCCTCATAACCCAATCAATTTAAAGGTCTCACCTCTTAACACTTTTGCATTAAGAATAGTTTCCAACACATGAACTTTGGGGGATACATTCAAACCACAGCAAGCTCTATGGATACCAATCTGTAAGAGGCACAAAAATAAAAAAATGATGCTAATTAACACAGCCACTTGCAGTGCCTTACATAACTTTTGAAACCTAAATTGGTCCTATTCCCCTGAGGTAAGACAGTGCCCTTGAATGTTAATTTAAAAATTCTCCTGGTTGGCAATTCCAATTATCTTATGTTATATTCAGGGCATGTAATAAGTCCCTTATTTTTACATAAAGAGCTTTTAAATTCTTATTAATAGAAAATCAGGTGTCTTTTAATCCTTTGCTGAACAGATATTTAAAGAAAACTGGCCTGTTCATGCATTTCCAAATTATTAGCTTTCTGGTAATTTACATATTCCTCTAACAAGCCCTGGATGGAGGCCTCTAAGTCCTCCTTCCCTGGTAAACATGGGGCTGTTCATTTGGCTGGGTAAGCTGAGAACGTTGGTGTGTGGGTGCGTAAAAGAGAATCTGTGTTCAATGAAGTATTGTCGATAGGGTTAATTGTGTATTTGGCACACATAAACGGGACAAGACGTGTAAAGTACTTGGTAGGAGAGCGACAGTATTTCTCCTTTTTTTTTTTTTTTTGGAGACTGGGTGTCACTCTGTCGCCCAGGCTGGAGTGCAGTGGCGCACGGCTCACTGTAACCTCTGCCTCCCAGGTTCAAGCAATTCCTCATGCCTCAGCCTCCCAAGAAGCTGGGATTACAGGCCTGCAACCCCATGCTCTGTTACTTTTTTTTTTTTTTTTTTCATTTTTAGTAGAGACGGGGTTTCGCCATGTTGGCCAGGCTGGTCTTGAACTCTTGGCCTCGAGCAATCCGCCCGCCTCGGCCTCCCAAAGTGCTAGGATTATAGGCGTGAGCCACAGCGCCCGGCCTAATTTTCGTATTTTCAGTAGAGACGAGGTTTGCCCTGTTGCCCAGGCTGGTCTGAACTCCTGGGCTCAAGCGACCCACCCACCTCGGCTTCCCAAAGTGCTAGGGTTACGGGCGAGCGTGAGTCACCGCGCCCACCCGGGAGTCTGTATTTCTAATTTGTATTCAGCTCTCAGCATATCCTCAACGTGACCCCACCCAGGTTCAGGGTACTGGAACCTGAGCGAGGAATGCGTGTGCCGGGGAGAGTAGGTAGTGTGAGGGGCCAGAGTGCAAAGGTCAGAAGGCATCTGGTGGAAGCGGTGTGCAAAGAAGCCTGAGGGGAGGACCTTAGATCTCGGTTACCTTGGCGATCTCTATCAGAGGGTTAGAGTTGCCGAGAGGCGCCAGCTGCCGCTTCCTCTCTCCCGCCCTCCGTTTGGCTTAGCTCGCCGGGTTCTCCCACAGGTTAAAAGCAGACGCCGACGCGGTTGCCTAGTGACACTTTTCCCAAAATGCCTAGGGTATTGTTGTGTTCTTCTTAGCCAATGAGAGAGGCGAAGCGGCCCACCGCCTGCCAATAGACTGCGAGATCAGGGCCCGCGACGGTTAAACGGGGCCCAAGGCAGGGGTGGCGGGTCAGTGCTGCTCGGGGGCTTCTCCATCCAGGTCCCTGGAGTTCCTGGTCCCTGGAGCTCCGCACTTGGCGGCGCAACCTGCGTGAGGCAGCGCGACTCTGGCGACTGGCCGGCCATGCCTTCCCGGGCTGAGGACTATGAAGTGTTGTACACCATTGGCACAGGCTCCTACGGCCGCTGCCAGAAGATCCGGAGGAAGAGTGATGGCAAGGTGAGCGTGGGACCTACCCTGCGCCTGCCCCTGCTTAGGTTTCGTCGCCTCGGGGCGAGCGCCCTGCGCCACCGAAGGGAACCGACAGGGCTGAGGAAATGGGTGCCCGGAAGACTAAACCGTCTTTCCTGGGTCTGCATCTGACAGCCTGTCCTGGGTGGCTTAAAGGATGGGAGACCGCTTCTTTTGATATATGTATTTCCATCTTTTCCCGTTTCTCTCCCCATTTCTCTCTTTCTCCTGCTTTGGCTTGCTAAGGACCTTCCATTGGTGACAGGTAACTAATTCCTGAGCTGTTTTTAGAGCTCTAAGAGTGGCCCTCTCAGGCACAAGAAAGGGGCAGGACTACCAGAACCCGAAGCTTTGTATCTGCAGTCAGACTCCCTCAAAATATCCATTATTAGGATTATTGGATTCATATTTCCCAATGTATATAGGTAGAACTTTTACAGAAAGTAACATTGGACAGGAAACTGCCTGGCTGCTGATGGAGGGATCTTTACCAAGGTGTCTCATCCTGGGAAAACACGACTGGGGTGGAATGGGGCAGGGACTTTGACCACCTTCACCCCAATTTTGACTATAGTACCTTTTAGCCAACTTCCCACTAACCAACTGAGGGTAGGGGTTGGGGGAGTCCTCATGTGCCTCATTCCCGTTTGTCTCCCCACAACATACATTTACTGCTTAGAACTGGAGGAAGATTATGGAAGTAAACTCACAGCTCCTTAAGTTCATTGAACTAAATTAGATAATGACCTTGATTGTAGGATATAATTAAAAGGGAGGTAATTTGTTAAATCTTGGAACTTTCATTCTTTGTTTTTGAGCATAATGAGTTCATTCATACCTTGGAAATTCTTATTTCAGATATTAGTTTGGAAAGAACTTGACTATGGCTCCATGACAGAAGCTGAGAAACAGATGCTTGTTTCTGAAGTGAATTTGCTTCGTGAACTGAAACATCCAAACATCGTTCGTTACTATGATCGGATTATTGACCGGACCAATACAACACTGTACATTGTAATGGAATATTGTGAAGGAGGGGATCTGGCTAGTGTAATTACAAAGGGAACCAAGGAAAGGTAAGCATAATCTTTTAAAAATGTAAGCTGAAATTGGTCTAGTTTCATTTATTTTAAGCATCTTGTTTTAGGATCAGTAATATGGAAGAGTGTATTTGTATTTGTTTGGTAGGTCCACAGTACTTTAGAAAATTCCTGGTGAATCAACACCCATATTTTATATCAAAATAACAATTTATAGGCTGAGTGTGGTGGCTCACACCTGTAATCCCAACACTTTGGGAGGCCGATGCGGGAGGATCACTTGAGCCCAGGATTTCAAGACCAGCCTGGGCAACATAGTGGGACCCTGTTTCTACAAAAATTAGCCAGGTATAGTGACATGTGCCTGTAGTCCAAGCTACTTGGGAGGCTAAGGCAAGAGGATTGCTTGAGCCTGGGAGGTCGAGGCTGCAGTGAGCCATGATCGTGCCACTGCATTCCAGCCTGGGTGACAGAGTAAGACCCTGTCTCAAAAAATATAAATAAATAAATAAATAAATTCCCTATTTGTACACTGGATAATTTATATCATCCCATCTTGGCAATGATTTTTTTAGAAGTTATATGCTGTATAACTGCTTTGGTTTTAGGCAATACTTAGATGAAGAGTTTGTTCTTCGAGTGATGACTCAGTTGACTCTGGCCCTGAAGGAATGCCACAGACGAAGTGATGGTGGTCATACCGTATTGCATCGGGATCTGAAACCAGCCAATGTTTTCCTGGATGGCAAGCAAAACGTCAAGCTTGGAGACTTTGGGCTAGCTAGAATATTAAACCATGACACGAGTTTTGCAAAAACATTTGTTGGCACACCTTATTACATGTCTCCTGTAAGTATTTCAGAATTTAGCTACTTTTTAAAACATCTTTTATTTTTGTTTTCTTGTTTGTTTGTTTTTGAGACAGAGTCTCGCTCTGTTGCCCAGGCTGGAGTGCAGTGGTGCGATCTGGGCTCACTGCAATCTCTGCCTCCCAGGTTCAAAGGATTCTCCTGCATCAGCCTCCTAAGTAGAGTAGCTGGGACTACAGGTGCATGTCACTATGCCTGGCTAATTTTTGTATGTTTAGTAGAGACAGGGTTTCATCATGTTGACCAGGCTGGTCTCGAACTCCTGACCTCAAGCGATCTGCTCACCTCAGTCTCCCAAAGTGTTGGGATTACAGGCGTGAGCCACCATGCCCAGCCAAAACATCTTTTAATGTTAAGCATTCTGAAGCAGGGAAATTGAGTTTTCTGTTTGTTTAGTAATATCTAGTAGCCAAGAATTGAAAATACTGTTATATTTTTCCACATGGACCACCAGACCAATAAAGTCTATATCAGTTTTTGTTTGCTGCATGAGTTATGTGCATTAATGTAAGTATGATGAAGACAGATTCCTAGTCTAAGGTTTGCGCCGTTTGTCATCTCTCACTGGGTTCAATTTTTTGAGCATTCATGCAAATTAAAGCATATTCAGTTCAAGCTTTTATGGAATGACTATGATGCATTAAACTCAAGGATTACAAAAATGAAATGGATTTTGTCCTTGCCCTCAAGAGTTGTTTCCCAATGTGTAGGTCCTAGTTATCTGCATCAGACTCACTTGGAGTGTTTGTTTAAAATGCAGAGTTCTGGGTCCCAAACCCAAACCCAAATCCATCGAGTGAATTTCGATCTCTGGGTGGGTTCTTGAACTCTGTTTTTTTTTTTTTTTAATATTTTACTTTTTATTTTAGACTTTGCATTTAAGAGGCTCTGTAAATGATTCTTGTGTATGCAGAATCAGAGCTCAGGAAGTTTGCTCACTTCAGATAGCATGTTTTTACAATGTTAACTTTTTGTACATTTTATTTTTTTGTTGCCTATCCCTGAAATATCTTGCTGAGTCCACTCACCAATTACCTCTATTGCTGGATATTTTGTTTCCAACATGTTTCACCATTCTTAGAAGTACTGCTCTGCATATCTTTGTATGAATTATTCTTTCTTCCTTTTTGGTTATTTCCTTGGAGTGTAGCTCATAAAATGAAATTGCTGGGGTAAATGTTTATGGCTGTTATTAGATATTGTCTGATGGCTTTTAAAAAGTTTAAGTCAATTGTGATAGCACTAATGTGTTAGTATATAACATCTGAACAGATAAAGATGAAGAAATATTTGTTAGTATTTTAGTAGTTCACCTTTCTAGGATTTTCCAAATATTTATAAATTATGTTAACAGATCTTACTATAGTATAAAACTTTGTAAATTAATGATTTTGGTTTTGACTAAAAATAGCCAGAACAGTACCATTTTCTCACTGTATCAAATTCCAAATAGAATGTTTTTAACATAAAGGACAATTATCCAGAAGTGGTTCTTGGGAAATTTGAAACCTATTCTTTTGTTCCTTTTCCCTCCTGCCCTTGTAATTAGAGTGGTTCAGCTTTCCTAAGGCACTGATTGTCAAAAAGTGGCATCAGACTCACCAGTTGGACTTTAAAACACTAACCAGCCACTAGAGATTGCTTCTATTCCCTCTGTTGAGAATAGGAGCTCTGGTAGGCTGTTGTTACTGTAGATGTGGAAGAAAGGCAAACAATAAAATAGGTAAGGATAATATTAGTTACTACTGTGATTTATGGAGTGGACTAAGACAAAATATAAATGGATAATTCAATTAGCTATTTATGTCTATATCCATTTAAATGTGGACTAGATACATATTTTGACTATTCTTAAATTTCCTCTAGTTCTTTTAAAATGGTGTTTCTTAATTTGCCTTGAGAGTAGAAGTCTCTCATATTCACCTCTGTATTGTCAGTGCCTAGTCTATACTAAGCACTTTCATTTGTGAATGGAAAATGAGTGAATGAATTATGTATGATGGAGTGTATTGGAACAAGATCATTGCCTTTTTTCCATTATAAATTTCAAGATAAAGTATAAGCTAAAAACTTTGAGGTTCTGTTTTTATCTCAGGAGTAATTTAATGTGTTTTTTAAGTTTCAAAACAAAATAAACTCTTAACACCTTCCACTTTCTTACCCTTTTTCCCTGTATAGGAACAAATGAATCGCATGTCCTACAATGAGAAATCAGATATCTGGTCATTGGGCTGCTTGCTGTATGAGTTATGTGCATTAATGTAAGTATGATGAAGACAGATTCCTAGTCTAAGGTTTGTACTGTTTGTCACATTTCACTGGGTTCAGTTTTTTGAGCCTCTGTGCTAACGAAAGTATATTCAAGTCTGAAAGAATTGTACCCTGGGTAAAATTAAGGTAGATAGATGAACAGGCTAAAAGAAACTATTCACAAATTAAAACTATAAGCCATGAGGCTGGGTCTTGACTGTTCAAGGGTCTTGGCTGGTTAGGTGCTTTCTTATTAGATTGACACTTAGCTCAAGGGAGAGCACATAGGTCAGGCAGGTAAGGTAAAGCTACTGTAAGGATGTGGAAGAAATGAAACAAGACTCGGGTAGAGGTCTGGGGATCTGTAGAGCAGGGAAGAGCTCCAATTCTTTTCCTTTGTTCTTCTTTTCATTTTCTTTCCCTTTGAAACTATTCTGTAGAGCAGTGATTCTCAACTAGGGATAAGGGAAGCAAATTTGCCTCTTATGGGGCATTTGATGATGTTTGGATAAATTTTTAGTTATCACAGCTGGGGAGTGCTTCTGGCATCTAGAGGGTAGAGGGCAGGGAGGCTACAAAATACCTATAATGCACAGGACAGCCCCCCACAACAAAGAATTATATGACCTCAAATGTCAATAGTGCCAAGGTTGGGAAACTTACTTATAAGAAGAAAATCCCAGAAGTAGAAACTTAAATACAAACTGGAGCTTAAGCTGTGCTTTTGATTTAGTTCCTATTGTATATTTTCATTTTTACAATTTGAAAATGTCTTCGTCGTCTTCTTCTTCTTTTTTAACCCTAGGCCTCCATTTACAGCTTTTAGCCAGAAAGAACTCGCTGGGAAAATCAGAGAAGGCAAATTCAGGCGAATTCCATACCGTTACTCTGATGAATTGAATGAAATTATTACGAGGATGTTAAACTTAAAGGTAAAGATGATAAGATGATATATTGTCTGTTTCTAGCTGTCAGTTAAGTGTCAGAGCATACATTCTCTCTTGTAGATCAATGGAGACTGAAGAAACGTTAAATATACTTTCTTAGCTAAATTTACTGTGTTAACACAAGTGAAAACATATGTAAATTTGGCAAATTGCACATCCTTGCTGGCCCACCTTCTGCGCTTTCTTTATTTCTCCTCCCACTCTGTCATGCTAACAGATGGTCGGTAGCAAGGAAAGATTGCAAAAAGAATTCAAATTCTCGTTCCCCTTGTCCTTGCCTACCTCACAGTGGCAGGTAGTGAGGGAAGGGGCCAGAAATAAGAGTTTATTACTCTGCCTCTAGCTCTAATTGAGAGATTAAAGACCAGAAGAAGGGGAGGGGTGATGGAGGGCGGACGGAGGACAGCTAAAAACAGAGGGAAAATCAATAAAGAGATTATGTGGAAAAACTCTGGCTATAGAATGGGGAAGGAGATGTTCTGGGGACCAGGCTGACATAAGAGAAGAAGGAAAATGCCGTAGGATCACAGAGAAGGATACAGATGAAGTGACAGGATTGAGAGTCAGTGAGAGAGTATCTTGCTAAATGTAGTTTAGAAATGCAAGGGCAGTACTTCCCCTAAAACAGACCCTAGCAATGCTACCAAGCCCCAGCACAAGATGTGCCAATCTTCAGGGATTGAACCTTCTTAGAAAGGTGAAAAGGGGAAAAGGGAAAAAAGGTAAGTTAACATCTGCATTACCTTGTGGACCCAGAACCTCATGAGTTAAAACCACCAGTGAACTTATTTTTCCAAGTTTTTAAGACCTAGCCATAAAGGAGTCCTTTC